>NT_187598.1:0-161083 GCF_000001405.40 Homo sapiens | reverse complement strand
CTTTTTTCTTACTTTTTAATCCATGGTATGATTTCTTCGTTTAGAATATGAAGACCTTTCATTGGTGGATATGGTTTTAACGAATCATTTTTTAGTTATCCTCACCTCTTTGGGCCTTTTTGTAAGTGAAGATCTTCGTTATCCATCACGCCACAGCTTATCGGTATGTAAATTGCTTTGTAACTAATAGCTAATCTTAAATATCTTCTGTGACACAAAAAGAAATATTTAATACTTGAGTTATGTGTGGTGTATCTTAAAATTGAAATGCTTCTTTCTTTCGAAAAACATAAAGGCATAATACAGTAACTTTTTCCTTTACCTCGTAGTATTGAATATATAATTTGGAAGTGGTGCTAGTTGTATTGCTCTACAAATTTATAGTAAGTTTTAAATGTATACATGCAGAAAAGATCTGTCTACCTACCTATTGATTGATCCATTTATTTATAGCTATATATGTTACCCAAATGCTTTAAGGTAATTTATAAAGCCACATATAGTATTACAAAGTAACATAAGTGAAAAGTAAGTATTGGGATTGAGCGAAGGGAAATACACGTTTAGGTGAAGATTGTTAATATGCATACCATAAAATTCTTAAACATGTTAACAAGTACCTCTCAAAAATTACCACAACAGAGATGAGACAAGCAATAAAGACTTGGGATCGGTAGGAGAAAAGATAGAGGGAAGTAAAGAAGGGGAAATGGTATTGATTGAGACACAGATATTTCTTATACATGGTAATTATTATCTTTCTTCAGGTATAAGAATATTCACATATACCTGAGCCTTCCTCACCATCTCTGAGAAAGTACCATTTGTTGCTCAGATGACTAGGGGATCTGGGGTTTTTAAAATGCTTATTATATAATTGCTAAAACAGAGAGTTGAAACCAGGAACGCTACAATGGCTTAAAATCAAAGTGCAGAGAAGTAGACGGGGATTGTATATTGTAAGTCCTGACCTCTGGACTGCTCTGGCCTGGGCAGAAGGAACAGAGTGGCAAAGGAGAAAATAATAGGTTGAGGGTGTGCCTTCCTAAACCCAAATGGGCGGCAGACTTGCATATGCCAGCACACTTCTTCTTTTTTTTTTTTTTTTTTTTTGAGACTGAGTCTCGCTCTGTTACCAGGCTGGAGTGCAGTGGCGTGATCTCAGCTCCCTGCAATCTCCGCCTCCTAGGTTCAAACAATTCTCCTGCCTCCGCCTCCCAAGTAGCTGGGATTACAGACATGCACCACCACGCCCAGTTAATTTTTGTATTTTTAGGAGAAACGGAGTTTCACTATGTTGGCCAGGCTGGTCTCAAACTCCTGACCTCGTGATCCGCCTATCGCGGCCTCCCAAAGTGCTAGGATTACAGGTGTGAGCCACCGTGCCAGGCCCACCTGCACACTTCTTAATTCCTCCATTTAAATCATTAAAAGGCATGGTTTTCGTCTCAAATCCTTTCTGGAATCACACTAAAGTATAAGTAAATTAATAAAATAATGAAATGAGGCAAAGACTGATGGGGAAATTCCCTGGATATTGTATAAACTATATCAGAGTTTGCTTTTAGTGTTTGGCTATCCTAACTGCTAGGATAGAAAAAACATATAATTTAGTTATAATTTTGTTTCAACGAATTTATATGGTTTATTTCCTTTAGTATAATTTAAATTGCTATGTTTTGTTAGGCCTTCTGATATGCAAGCAAAAATTAAAGTTTCTTCTTTTCTTCTAGTTTTCCAGGGCAGACTTTTGTGGTTTTGAAAGGGTAAGAAGCTTTATATTTCCCAGGGCTGGTTAGAAGATATGTGTTTACTTGGTAACTTGAGATGAGATGCAAGACAATAATTCACAATATAAGTTATTCCAGTTACTATATTATTTATAGTTTAAACAAAATATATATTTTTTTATATATATGAATTTGTAGCATATATTATTTATACATATATTCGTAGCAACCATTAAGCAGTGCTCACCTCTTCTGCTTCAAAGGAAGAAGTGCTCCTCCCTGTTTCAGAGGTCACCCCCACCCCGTTTCCTATGCTATGTCCAGGCTAGCTATGGTTGTTCAGTTTGGATTCTGCACAAGTACACTTGACTGAAGAGAGTAAGGTGGTGGGGTCTGGCTAACACTTTACTCCTCAATCCATCTACCCCAGTGTAAGTCTGTTCTACTTCGAGAAAGGGGTACCTTTTCTAACTTACAAAAAATGTCATATAATCTAGTCACTGGTCTGCTTCTGGCCTTTTGGGGGATTTTGTTCCATCAGTTATCTCCCTTATATGTTAAAAAGTCAAGTTTTGTGATTAATGAACTAGGTCATTCCCATCAGCATATAAGCATGCTTCGGTTGGAAAACCACAAATGAAATCATGAGTGTTCCTAGCCATTTGCCATATGCCCTCCCTATTCTGTCCTCATAGAGTGAGCAGATGGCTATGGACCAGAAAGGTGGCCCTCGCCAGGCACTGAATCTGCCTGCACCTTTATCTTGGACTGTGCAGGCTCCAGTCTGTGTGCACATGTGCATGTGCACATATACCCACATTCACACTGTCTATGAGAAAGGAACATTTATTTCTCAGGAAGCAAATAGAACTGACTAATTGTCATACTAATCAGAGGACAAGTAGAGCAGATAACTGAGAGAGCCAGATGGGCAAAAATGATTTGCATTATAAAGAATAGAGGGAAATAACTGTCAAAATAGAATTCCATACCTAGCTAAACTATGTATCTCAAGAATGAGAGTGAAAAGAGAATGTTCACACCCAAAGACATTGGGAGGGTTTACCATCCAGAAATTCCCATGAAGGAGTAGGATGCCAGAAACAGTGAGGAAAACTGGAATGTAAGTTCTAAGACCTGGGAGAGCAGGAGCCCTGTCTATGCTGTTTGCTACTAGATCCCAGTGTCTAGAATGGCACCTGACACAAGGTATGCACTTAGTAAATATGTGTTCAAAGAATGGAATTGGTATAAAAAATAAGTTATGGCCAGGCGCGATAGCCCACGCCTGTAACCCCAGCACTTTGGGAGGCTGAGGCGGGTGGATCACCTGAAGTCAGGAGTTATAGACTAGCCTGGCCAATATGACGAAATGCTGTCTCTACAGAAAATACAAAAATTAGCCAGATATGTTGGTACATGCCTGTAATCCCAGCTACTCGGGAGGCTGAGGCATGAGAATTGCTTGAACCCAGGAGGCGGAGGTTGCAGTGAATCGAGATCGTGCCACTGCACTCCAATCTGGGTGACCGAGCTAGACTCTGTCTCAAAATAAAAATTAAAATAAATTAAATTAAAAATAAGTTATACATTTTGTGTTTAATAATTGGATGGAACCAAAACTCTAGACAATATAACAAGGAGAAATGGCAGTAGTTTTCAGTGGATAATAAAGTATTTAAGATCTTTGTAAGGAGAACCAATATGGGGAATAAGTTAAGAATTTGTTAGAAAAATGTGCAATTCAGCATATATGTTAAGAATTGAAGGATAATTACCAAAAAACTAAAATAAGACAAAAAGAATATAACCTAAAACTTCCAAACCACCAGACGAAGGAAAACAAGATTAAAGAATAATCCATCTATTCTACAAAAAGGAAGAAAGGAGAGGAGAGATAAAGGTAAAAGAATAGAAAAACTATGAGGTAAAACAGTAGAAATAAATCCAAATATCTCAGCAATTACAATAAGTGGAAAGGAACATTATAGGAAACTGAAGAAAAGATAATATATATTTTAAAAAGTTACACCTAAAGAAGAATCACACAAAAAGTAACATAAATGGATGGAGGAGACTGTGACCTTTAACTCCCTTTAGCTTTCATCTTCAGCCTACCTGCCCTGCTAAGTCAAAAAAGGCTGCTGGGGCCACTGGACAGCTGGGCTCACTGGGAGCCTGCTTTGAGGAATCTCACTGAGGAGATCTGGCATGTCGTTACCTCACTCATGGTTTACCTGAGAACAAAGTGCTGGCAACACAGAGCGGGGAGTAGAGGACTGGGAAGGGGAAGGATTCTGGAGGGAGTTTGGCTGGCAGAGCTCCGCGAAATCCTAGGGAAGGGTTTTCTCAGTTTTGGGAGTGTGGCTGAGAGTAAGGCTAGAGATGGGCCTACCGGGAGAGCTGCATTCTCCCTGTGCCTGAGGTAGGCAGGTTGAAGGAGACCTGGAAAGAGGGGAACCCCTTCTGTTTCCAAGGTGGTGGCATGGCAGCCCAGAGGGCTAGAGACCACTTTGCCATCTATTATTCCAATTGTCAAAATTCGAGGTGCTCCACAAACCATACCTGAGCCCTCTCTTCAAAGCACACTTAAGGTAGCCTGGCATTCTGAGAGCAAAGATCATTAGAATAAAACTAGAGTCGCTGGTGGATAAGGCAACAATTGAACGAGAACATTTTTAAATAAAATCATTTCACAGATACCCAGTGAGCACCTACTCTGTGATTACCATCATTGGCACTGAGGTATTAGCAAGAACACAGTCAATATCAATAAAGAGCTTCAAGTGCAGCATAAAAATACTTCCTGGGACTGAATACCAAAATTTCCATTAAAAATGGAAAAAATTGAAAGATAGAATGGCCACTGTTTAAATGCAGAGTAGTGGCATGGAAAATCAAGATGAAGAAACTTCTCAAACCATCTAAGGAACATCACTAGAAATCACAAGGGCAAAAGTGAGCCTTTGAGGAGAGATCCAGAAGGGCTAACAGGTGAGCAAAAGAGTTTTCAGATGGATTTAAAAAGGAACAGATATAAGACAGGCAATAATAAAAAAAAATGAAAGAACATTAACTGAGATTAAGAAAATTCCAAGGCTATATATTACAATCCACTAAATTCCAGGGAGCACTGAAAAAATGTAGGCATATCCAAGGAATATATTCCTCAGTTTTAAGGTTAAGGGGGAAATATTACAAGTATCCAAACAGAAAGAGCAAAAGCAAAATACACCTCACTGGTATTAGATTTTGTTTATACAACAGTAGAAGCTTGAAGACCGTGAAATCAACATCTACCGTCTACTTAAGACAAAAGAACCAAAGTCCAGAATTTCTATTTCCAGACAAGAGATTATTCATCTTTCAGATTAAAAAAGTTTATGACCTGGTTATCCCAACTAAGGAAAATACTCAAGAAAGAACTTTAATAAAACAAATGAAAAAGAACAGACATTTCAATAAAGGGGAAGAAAATGAGGAGAGGACTAGTGATAAGAAATGCTTGGCTGTTTCTCTCATTTTATCTCATATTTATTCGTGTGTTTTCTGTCTATCCATATAAATCAAAATGGAGTACTAGATAAGGATTTTTTTTTTTTTTTTTTGAGACACTCTCCCTCTGTCACCCAGGCTGGAGTGCAGTGGTGATCTCGGCTCAGTGCTACTTCCACCTCCTGGGTTCAAGCAATTCTCCTGCCTCAGTCTCTTGAGTAGCTGGAATTACAGGTGTGTTCTACCACGCTCAGCTAATTTTTGTATTTTTGGTAGAGATAGGGTTTCACCATGTTAGCCAGGCTGGTCTCAAACTCCTGACCTCAAGTGATCTACCCACCTTGGCCTCCCAGAGTGCTGGGATTACAGGCGTGAGTCACCGCACCCAGCTTAGATAAGGATTTTTGAACAGAGACATCTTAGCCAATGTGGGCTGCTATAACAAAATTACCATAGACTGGGTGGCTTATACAGAACAGAAATTTATTTCTCACAGTTCTGGAGCCTGGACAGTCCAAGATAAAGGCACAGGCAAATTCAGTGTCTGGTGAGGGCTGCCTTCCTGGTTCATAGACAGCCATCTGTTCACTGTGCCCTCACGTGGCAGAGGGGCAAGGGATCTCCCTGGGTTCTCTTTTATAAGAGGACTAATTCGATTCACTGAATCACCCCCACATCAAATAAGGGTACTAATTCCATTCACCTTATCACCTCCCAAAGGCCCCACCTCCCTCCCATACAGCCTATAGCAAGAAAGGACATGTTGCAAGGGAAATGAGCATTTTCAACACCTAAAAATTATGATGTTCAAATAGGTAATACATTCACATAGTTAAAAACTAAAAAAGTTACAAAAAGATATAGACTGAGAAGTCTCTATCCCACCTCTCTGTATATTCACCCTGATTTTTCCCTGTCCCTTACAGGTAATCTTTTTTTATTTTATATCTTTTCAGCATTTTCTAATGGAAATTCAAATAATTATGAATATAATGAATATATATACTTTTCTTCCTTTTATTATACTATATACAAAGTATGCTAAATTATTTTCTTCACTTATCAATAATTATCATAGGAAAAAATCCATATTAGTAAATGGAGAATAGCCTCTTTTTCTTTTGTTTTTTGTTTCTTTTTTCCAGCTACAAGTATTCCATTGTATGAACTAGCCAGAGTTTATTTAAATTATCATCCATTGCTGGATGCTTGGGTAATTTCCCAATATTTTGCTATTACAAACAATGCTCCCATGAATAATTTTGTACCTAGAAATTTTATGTGTCCAGACATATAGATACAATACATCCTAGAACTTGATTGGGAGATCAAGGGATAAATACTTATGCACTTTTAAAAAATAATCACGAATTGTCCTTCATGGAAGTTTTTATAATTAGCAAGGATATTATAATAAGTCCTATTAAACTAAAATATCTTAGTAAAACTCATTGATGGTTGATAGTGATGAGGGAGAGGGGAAATACAGTGTTCCAAAGGTAGAAGGGTGCTGGGATTGGGGAGTGGAGGGAGGGGAAAAAGTGAAATTATTTTTAAGAGTTTAAGGATCTATCTTTAAATAAGACCTCTTTTACTAATGATTGAAGCAAAGGTGTTCAGAATGAGATATATGTGGGTGTTTAGACAGGTAGTTGAACATGTGAATACTTAATGATTTATTCATTCAGTAAGTCTCATCCATTCAACAAATATTTGTTGAGCACTTCCTATATTCCATGCTTATTCAGACAAGAATGATTCCATAGTGAACGAGACAAAGTCCCTACTTTCATGTAGCTTAACATTCAACTGAGGGGGCTAGATCATTAAAAAATACACAAACAAATACATAATGTGATTTTAGATAGTAATAAGTGCTCGTTGAAATTAAAGCAGAGTAAGAGAAAGAGTGAGGGGAAGATAATATTCTGTTTTAAATAGGGTGATTAAAGCAGGCCTTTTCAAAGAGATGAAATTTAAGCAGAAACTTGAGTAACTTGGAATAATTATTTTGACACAGCATTTCCAGTCAAAGGTAATAGGAAGTATAAGATCCCTAAATTAGGGATTTGGCATGAGATAAAATCTGTTAGTTATCCACCAAAATCTGTTTAGTGGCAACAGCAAGGAATATGGATCACTTCTTTAAGGATAAAATTAAAATTCTTGTGACACACAAAATGCTTACTGCTTCAGCCTGAGTGTGCCTGCCTCTACCTGCAGCCATCCTGCCCCTACTGCAGCCATCCTGCCTGGCCATGCTAAACCACTCACCTTCCCTGAATGTGCTAACATTTCTCACACCTCGACTCCTTTGCATAACATGTTTTGTCTTCTTAGCATGCACTGCTTCCTCCTATTTCACTTAGAGAATTTCAACTCATTCTTCAGAAATCCCTCCCTGACCACCAAGGTGCTCCTCCTGTGCATGCTCCAAGTTCTCAGCACAAATTCCTATCATTATCACCCTATTTTGTCTGTTGAGCCCCCAGACTAGCCTCACAAGATTTTAGGTTCCGGTCAAGATCTATCTTATTTACTATTGTATCCCGATAAATTACCACACGGCCTTGCACATAGGCAGTCTCAATGAATATTTATTGAGTCAATGAGTGAATAAATGAAGACAGACTGGATTCAAATTTTGGACTAACTTATCAGCCATGTAACATAAAATTTTGAACAAGTTGTATAACTCTCTGGACCTCAATTTCTTCATTTTAAAATGAGCATAACAATATCTACCTCTTAGAAATGAGGTGATTAAGTAACATTACATATGAAAAATCTCAGTACAGTACATGGCACAATGTAGATACTTAAAAAAATTCGTTGGCGGCCAGTCATAGTGGCTCATGCCTATAGTCCCAGTGCTTTACAAAGCCAAAGCAGGAGAATTGCTTAAGTTCAGGAGCTCTAGACTAGCCTGGGCAATATAGTGAGACTCCTTTCCCTCAAAAAATTAAAAAATTACCCAGGCATGGTGGTGCACACCTGTAGTCCCAGCTGTTTGGGAGGCTGAGGCGGGAGGATTTATTAAGCTGAAGAGTTTGAGGCTGGAGTGAGCTACGATCATGCCACTGCACTCTAGCCTGGGTGACAGAGCCAGGACCCCATATCAATCAATCAATAAATAAAGTGACTCCTCGGTCAGCGCAGTGGCTCACACCTATAATGCCAGCACTTTGGGAGGCCGAGGGGGGTGGATCACTTGAGGTCAGGAGTTCGAGACCAGCCTGGCCAACATGGTGAAACCTTGTCTCTACTAAAATACAAAAAAAATTAGCCAGGCGTGGTGGCGTGTGACTATAATCCCAGCTACTCAGGAGGCTGAGGCAGGAGAATCACTTGAACCTGAGAGGTGGAGTTTGTAGTGAGCCGAAATTGTGCTACTGCACTCCAGCCTGGGCAACAGAGTAAGACTCCTTCTCAATTTAAAAAAAAAAAAAAAAAAAAAAGAAGTGTCTCCTCATGTGTTCAAGTTTTGTCATTAGATATCAGCAAAGGCTTTTGCACACAGATCATACAGATTTTATTATTAGTCTATAAAAATGTAAAAAAGTCTTTCTTACATCCCAACAGAAATTTGAAGGTCAGAATCTTCCTATAATAAAATAATCTCAAACTGTTGCATTTAATTAATATCCAACATTTATATCCAACATATTCAATATATTGAAGCTTGTCTCTCATGACCAATTTTCAAAACCTTTTTCCTGTTTCTTCTTGCTGCTGTCAGGCTTCTGGGAATGCTCCTTAAACCCAGCTGCCACTAATGAGGAATAAAAGATAAATATGTGACCCATTGTAACTGTGCTGAAAGACTAATGGCTTCTGGTAGCTTCTGAAAGACAGTTCATAGACAAGGGCATCCTCCATTAACATATGCTAATTCATGTGTGATTTCTTTTCTCTTTATGCCTTTTTTGTGCATTGTTCAAAATGTATATTCCTGTTTCCTGTCCTCATTCTACAGTCTTTTATTTGCATACAATTTTTGTCTCTTTGCCTCACATTCCTGAACTATCAAACTTTGAAATTTTTTAGTTTTTTCTATCTTATATCTTAAGATATCTTAAGTCTACATATTGGCTAAGTGATATTTTATTTATTTATGTAGGTTGACTATGTGAAAGGAAAACTGTGGTATAATGAAAGATGTTTTGCTAACAGAGAGCACTTTGAAGGTAAATTTTGGTTAAAGATATACTGTATTAAGAGACTTTTACATATATGTGTAACTGAATGCAAGCTCAGCCTTTGGAATGGTCTTTTAAGACCATTCCAAACTTTAGGCTGGGGAGGGTTTAAAAAGGGGCACTTGGGGTGGGAGGCATTCAGGAGTGATGCTGGGTGCAAGGTCTGTGTGTCCTGTCCCAGTGGCTATCTTGAGTCATGCTCCACCTGGAACATAGGCTAGTGTCATCTTCACGATGGCCAGGTTGTAGACTAACCTCCTTGAGGTAATCTCTGGAATTTCACAGCTGAGTCTCCATGTCTGATTTGTCTCAAAATTAGCCCCTGGAACTTCTAAGCAATCGCATAATTAGATAAGCCAGCAGTACAAGGGAGTGTCGGGTGGGAAGGGAGGGAAACCAAGAATTTCAAAGTATGCTTTCAAGGCTAAAAGCAAGAAAAGAAAAAACAGTTTCAAAAATGCATTTTTAACCTAAGCCACTCAGTTGCAACTTTCCATTGTGAAATTCCATTCCATTTCTATGGAAAGTGGGTGGCATAGTCGATCTGGCTATTTCCCGCTGAGAAGGGCCATAGTTAGGAGGTACCAGAATGGAATTTGTCCACCTGGAGTTGGAAATATTCTTGAGTTCCTAGACTTGCAGTAGGAATTTGCGGGAGCATTATGGTGCAGGGACATAGGAGTTTCTGAGAACATCTTTCCTGCATCCTTGTGCAGAGTATATAATAGCAATAAAATCCACAGCAGCCGAAGAGGACAATGAGCAAAATACCAATCGTGCTATATATGAAAGTCTTCCCTGCACTAAGGGGCTGACTAAACCAATCCGTTATTGGGAGAAGGTATCTATAGCAGAATATGAGTATCCAATGCATGCATAGGTTAGGTTATATTGTGAGAATAATCTAGTATATATAGACAACAGTCTTAATGCACTAGTGCCACTTTAGGCTGCAGTCAGGATATCTACAGCCATATAGTTTTGTAAGGCCACTTGCCTAATCTGGAAGTTTCTTCAGTAAGAAGAGTGATGGCATGGTGGGTGTTATTAAAGGCAGCAGCCATATGCTTAGCCAGGGCCTCTACTTGTAATTCTACATCTATGGTCACTGCCTGGGGGAAAAAGATGGCTAGTGGGTAAAACCACCAGGATGCCCATTTTTGACAGTGGTGTCTGGCGTTTGTGCTTTCCCAGTTGGCAGGCAGAGTCTAGATGGAACAGGATTCATCCTGGTAGGTAAGGGTGCTCCCAGATGCATCTGCCAGTCCAATCAAAGGATAGGAAGGGCCAACTGTGAGTGCCACAGGCCCATAAGCAGCCCCGGGGGAAGGGTTGACTCCATGTGAGAAGGAGCTGTTTTGCTACCCCAGCCATATAGTTGCTAGTCAGTTGAAGAGTTTGATTACATTCCTGGGGAGGTAACCATCCCATGTTACAGGTGTTAGCTTGAGGTGTGCTGCGGTTGTGGTGTTCAGTGCACAGTGGTGCTTGACCTATTACCTGTATTTGTACCTCTGTCAGCCATCTGACACCACTGTGTACAGCATATCCCAAGGTGGAGATGACATTGACCTGGTTGCAACTTAGTTGAAAAACATGTTTCCTGATTTCCTGGCAAATAGGAAATTCATGAGGCTTATGATGAGATGAGTTATGGCCATGAAAGGGAAATGGGTGAATTGCCCCATACCAGGTATAGAAATGACTCCAAGTACTTAGGTTGGTGGCTTGCACGCACCACGGCAAGCCTGCAGTGGAAGAAAGGGCAATTCCCCACAGACTCAGCAGTCTGTTCTATTCTGGAGGGAAGCCACCATTTGTGCCCATTCAGCAAAAAGGTTAGTTTCAGCAGAGATAAATAATGTATTCATGACTACAAAACTTGTTAAGTTCATGTTAAGAAAAGGATAGTACTTATCTGTGTGTTTTTTTTCTTTAATACAGCTTTAGGTCTTTTCTTGGCACACATGAACAGGCAGGCTGGTTGTCTGAGGTATCAGGTTGAGGATGAGCCTTCACCTGAGTGTGATGTATCCAGGGTTTAATTCCAGCCAGTTTGACAGATGAATGCATGGTCAGCAGTGCATCATAAGTCCCATCCATTTTTGACTAGCTGCCAGTCAGGTCCTTGTTTTTTTCCAAGACTTTTTAGCAGTACCTTAACTCTTGGTGGAAAGGGTGAAGGGGCTTGCCCCTAGGGTATGAGGACCTGGAAGCAGAAAACTGATGCATGGTTAGTAATGTCTGTCCTAACTGGTGTATGTATTGTTTAATTCTTAATTCATTTATTAGGTCTAAAGGCGGGACTCCCAGGGAGCGTCTCCCATAAACAATCTCAAAAGGGTTCAACCTGCTCCCACTTCGGGATGTTACCTTGACTCAGAGTAAGGCAATGGGAAAAATTCATCCCAAGTCAAATTACTTTCTTGACATATTTTGGCAATGCAATTTTTTTAGAGTGTGGCTTCTCTCTTTAGTTTTTCCTGTCATTGTGGTCTTTCAGATGACAATCTACAAGTTGTAGGAAGGGGTGAGTCACAGTTTGCCCTGACATTCCTGCAACCATCACAGTCTTTTTTGAATCAGAGGATAGGCAGATGTTAACTATAGAATATATAGCCCCCCATATCAATAAGAAAGTAAGTTTGTTCTCCATTGTCCATTATGCTCAGGGGTCCTGTGGGGACATGATGAAACGTTGGCTAAACGTACGAATTGAACAAGTTATAGGAGGACCTATGAATATTTATGAAAGTGGTCCTGACACATGCATATTGAACGAACATGCATATAACATATGACTCCGTTTACCTTGTGGGGAGACTTAATCGTTTTCTGGCATGGGCTTAGGTCCTGTTTATAATTTGATAGCTTATTGCCATAAAGAACCTGTTCTGTCAGTCTTATGATAATTAATAGTGGTCAATAGTAGTGTCTAAATCATAAAATGGAGGGAATATAATGAGGCATGCCTGACTTTCCATCCCATCATGGCTGGGGATTAAGTTTTTAAGGGTTTTTCTTGGGGTTCCCTTGGCCAAGGGGGAGGGTTTGTTCAGTTGGTAGGGGACTCAGTATTTTATTTTTTGGTTTATATTTCCTCTTTTTTGGTAAAGATATGCCAGAGGCAGTATCAATGGCCAAGTTTTACTTTGTCCCATACTAATGCTGGGGTGGTATGACTACCTTTCCCAGGTCTGTCATGCCCTCCAGTGGGACACCTATGGCCAAGGAACTTAGAGTCAAAAGACTTATAGCCAATTAAACATTTCAGGCCAGATTAGAATGGAGGTGGGCAGGCACTCATTAACCCTTAAAATTCCTTTTAAACAGCATAAGAGCTGAAAACCAAAAGCCAAAAACAAAGTTATAAAATTGACTTATGTATATATTTTATGCATTGGGCTGCTATAGTCTTAGCTTGTAGCAATTAGTTATACAAAACACAAGCATTTTGTTTAGCTGTTTAGGCATCTGTGTGCCTGTCCTTGATTTGGAGGTTCTGAACTAAGTTTATGCCTCAAAACCAGCCCTTATAATATCACATGACCACCACTTCTGCAATAGTCCCTGGGCCTAGAAGGATTGGATAGTTTCAGTTTTGGAGGTAAAGTAAAACATAATTGGCAACATTTCAAACAAAATGGTCATAAGCCTTGCCTCATTCTGAGAATGACAGGAAAGGAAGCTCACAGGTAGCTAAACATTTAAATTATTTAGAATTAAGGCACAGAATAAATTATATTAATTCAGATGGGGCAGAATTAGTAAATGAATCTTAATGTTTTTTAATACAGGCTTGTCCTGTGTCCTATTAAGGCAGTATACTTTGATTGTTGCCTTTGTCTGGGTCTAAAGATGAGGCTTTGGTTGACTTGAGATTGGTATCAGATACTGGCAGAGTCAGCGTCTTCTTTAGATGAGGTATGTCCATCTAGGAGTCAAAGCCCTGTAACTTAACAGCACATGGATTAGTTAATGGCACCTGTTAAGGACATTTTCAAGAGGCTGGAGATGGTGATACTGGAGTCTATGACCTGACTGGAAGCCATAAAAAGATTTACAGACTTGCATTGATTAATTTTTATAGCTTTGATGAGCCCAAGAAAGAGGTCAGAGATTTAATTTAGGATTTGATTTCAAGGACGTTTGTGAAAGATGTTAAAAGGCTCAAAACATTTGGTCAAAATAGAATGATAGGTCATTGTAAAACAATATTCATCTAACCAAAGTGATAATCAAAAGACTTTAAGGGCAACATAGAAGGTTATGTGGCTGTAAAAACCTTAACCCTTTTAAATCTGAGGTTTTTTAAGCCATCAAAAATCTAATAAAGACAACATAGAAATTATCTTGATAAGATGTAAAATCTTACATCTGATATAGGCCATCCATGGATATGGCATATGACATAGGCCATCTATGGCATGCTTAGACTTTCTATCTTGTCCTATATTATCTCTTTCCTAAACAACCATTTTACTTTAGGACAGAAATTTACCATATAAGATATTTCCTCATACAAAATTATTTTAATAAGAACACAACTTACAGAATTATATATTACCTAGTATTTTTATTTTTAATAACTTTAAACTTTAGTGAAAGCTTAGGAAGCAAGAAATCCTGAACTGTTTATCAGATGTTAACATTTTATAGATGAAATAATTCTACAAGTTTTATAAACATGTTTTCCCACATCATAACCCGTTTTTAGTTGGAAATGACCCAGACATCTAAATAAGCATCCAAAATAATTTTAAGATTTTAAATTTCATTTAAAGTTTACCTGCAAGCATTTACCCCATTTACACGTAACTTGATTTTTTCATTTTTAATCATTTATCTAGACTACTTTTGAAAATGGAGATATTAGACAGCACTAGTCATCATTTAAAGTTATTTTCCTGTTAACCATTTTTAAAGCTTGTAAACATCAGGGATTCACCTAAGAACCTTAAAGTTAAACACATGGGCATTTTGCTGACAACTTAGAAGATTCAGCTGTTTTTATTGAACCACCAATATTACATTAGTCTTATTTATCAAAAAAAATCATACAAACAAAGATCATTCTGCTTTTGGCTGGGTTTATAGCCTTATAACTTTTATGCCAAATCCAGACAGCTTAATCTATCTAGCAGAGGCAAATACAAAACATATCTAATCAGTAAACTCAGACAAAAATGTATGCTGACACTTCTGAAGACATTTCTATGTTAATTTTATTAATCATATTTAAAACCAGTTTTATTTATCAAAGATGCATGTGCACTTGAAGAGCTTTTGGATTTCATTTATGAGTACTCATTTACTTATAAGCCAGCTTGGTAGTGTGCCAGATATGACATATCACATAATACATCAACATCACATAAATATATCTAAACATGTATATGCACACACAAATATCCAATAGCTTTTACCTTAGAATTCTAGCCACAAGATAGCAATATAATCTCATCATTTTATAAAAGATAGCTGGATCTGAATTATTTTTGTGACAAAATTGGAATCTGTTCACATGGCTGAACTTTGTTTGCCTTAGTAGGTAATCCAAGAAAGGCAATGGACCAAAATTTGGCTAAAGCAGTCTTTACGGCAGTTCAGTTTTGTTTTTTATTTTACTTTAAGTTCCAGGATACAAGTGCAGAACGTGTAGGCTCGTTACATAGGTATATATGTGCCATGGTGGTTTGCTGCATCTTTCAACTGTCATCTAGGTTTTAAGCCCCACATGCATTAGCTATTTGTCCTAATGCTCTCTCCCCCCTTGCCCCCCACCTGCCAACTGGCCCTGGTGTGTGTTGTTCCCTTCCCTGTGTCCATGTGTTCTCACTGTTCAACTCCCACTTATGAGTAAGAACATGCGGTGTTTGGTTTTCTTCTGTTCCTGTGTTAGTTTGCTGAGGATTATGGCTTCCAGCTTCATCCATGTCCCTGCAAAGGACATGATCTCATTCCTTTTTAGGGCTGCATAGTATTCCATGGTGTACATGTACCCATTTTCTTTATCCCGTCTACCATTGATGGGTATTTGGGTTGGTTGCATGTCTTTGCTATTGTAACTAGTGCTGCAATACAGTAGCAAGTAGATAAGGGCCCAAATGCGCATGTGCCTTTATAGTAGAATGATTTATTTTCCTTAGAGTATATACCCAGTAATGGGATTGCTAGGTCAAATGACATTTCTGGTTCTAGATCCTTGAGGAATTGCCACACTGTCTCCACAATGGCTGAACTAATTTACATTCCCACCAACAGTGTAAAAGCGTTCCTATTTCTCCACAGCCTTGCCAGCATCTATTGTTTCTTGGCTTTTTAATAATCACCATTCTGACAGGTATAAGATGGTATCTCATTGTGGTTTTGATTTGCATTTCTTTAATGATTAGTGATGTTGCACTCTTTTTTCATATGTTTCTTGGCTGCATAAATGTCTTATTTTGAGAAGTGTCTGTTCATATCCTTTGCCCACTTTTTGATGGGATTTTTTTTCTTGTAAATTTGTTTAAGTTCCTTGTAGATTCTTTGTAGATTCTTGGGTAGATTACAAAAATATTCTCCCATTCGTAGGTTGCCTGTTCCCTCTAATGATAGTTTCTTTTGCTGTGCAGAAGCTCTTTAGTTTAATTAGATCCTGTTTGTCAATTTTGGCTTTTCTTACAATTGCTTTTGGTGTTTTCATCATGAAGTCTTTGCCCATGCCTATGTCCTGAATGGTATTGCCTAGGTTTTCTTCCAGGATTTTTATGGCTTTGGGTTTTACATTTAAGTGTTTAATCCATCTTGAATTAATTTTTCTATAAGGTGTGAGGAAGGGGTTCAGTTTCAGTTTTCTGCATATGGCTAGCCAGTTTTCCCAGCACCATTTATTAAATAGGGAATTCTTTCCCCATTGCTTGTTTTTCTCAGGTTTTTCGAAGATGAGATGGTTGTAGATGTGTGGTGTTATTTCTGAAGTCTCTGTTATGTTCCATTGGTCTAGATGTCTGTTTTGGTACCAGTACCATGCTGTATTGGTTACTGTAGACTTGTAGTATAGTTCGAAGTCAGGTAGCATGATGCTTCCAGCTTTGTTCTTTTTGCTTAGGATTGTCTTGGCTATACGGGCTCTTTTTTGGTTCCATACCATTGACATTCCTTACAGAATTTGAAAAAACTAATTTAAATTTCATGTGGCAGTTCAGTTTTTAAAAGTCTCTTTTATCCTTTTTTTCTTCCATTCCAAATGAGCTTCCAATGTTTACATTTCAGTTAGAACATAAATAATGAGTCTTAGCACCACAGCTTAGTAAAAGCAGATTCAAAGCAGATTCAAGGCAGGCAGAAAAAAAAAAAGAAGATAGAGAACTTTAGAACTCTGATTAACTTTATAGTTGCAAATTAACCATGTGAGCTCTGAATTTTTTTTGCTATAACTTGCCCCTCAGTTTAAAATGTGCACAGAAATGGACCATAATATGTGACCAGCTGGAGTCCCAAAGAGGATGACAAAATCAGGGGCCTTTAGTGAGCAGAGGAGCAGCCTATATTGATGCCTTGCTTTTGCCTCTGTATCAATAATTCCCTGCAACTAGATTGCCAGGAGTTGGGTGAATCCTCCTTATTTTACACAACCAGTGTTGATGGTACCATTCATGGTCCCAATAGGCATGCCTGTGTAAATTTTGCCACACAGTCAGGAGAGCCAAACATGTAAAAGAATTAATTTCCCCAACAGTCTAATGACTGGCGATGACCAATATAGCCTTTTTTTTAACACATCAACCTTAATCTAAGTTCAGGTCCTGCTGCAATCCCAGTAAGCAGTAATGGAAGGGCAACAAATGAGATGGCAAAACAAGTGGACAGAAAGGGCAAAAGAATTGGAGTTGGGACTGTTTAAACATTTATCCCAGGTATTTCCGACAAATAACATTGAAAACCGTAAGTGGGATACAGGCCCATTTAGATAACCCACAGAAGAATTCACATGCTTCTTTCCCCCATAAGATTTGGCACAGCTCTGAGAAGTACTTTGGGGTCCGAGAAAGAGCAACCCAGCCAAGAACCAGGGTGACAAAAGCTGTTCTACTTCAGGGTTGGATCCCTAGATTGAGTGGGGGGCTTAGACAGGCTGCCTTAAAGGGTAGAGAAAGAAGGAAAGAAAGTTGCAAGTAGATAAGGGCCCAAATGTAGATCACATACATACACAGATTCAGATGGTGCACTCCCAGGCTGATTCCCCATCAAGGGGACTAGATAAAAGTCCTGAAACCTTGTCTCAACTTCAGATGGCCCCATGAGCAGCTAGGTCAAAACAGAACAAAGCTCAAGTGGTGCCACAGATAAAGATGATGTACCTGCCCAGACAATGTCGCAAGCAGCTACATCCAAATGGAGCAGAGCTCAAGTGTTACCACAGAAGAGACAGAGGAGACCTGGGTGCATTCCAGTTGACTTATCCAGTTCTGAAGTCTGTTAGCTTCTTCACTTGTCACTTTCCCTGCACCAGCAAAGTGTAGTAGGCAGCTAACGCCATGACAGGGAGAGAAGGGAGATTTCCTGAGACTAAAGTATCTCAGCAGCTGCCAGGAAAATGCCCAGAGCCCCAGCTGCAGGGTCAGCTAGCCATCAGCAGCTAATATTCATGAGCAACTCTTGTCCCATCCAGTAGCATGAATAGGAAAGCCCTGACACACTGCTGCGGCCAATTGCCCCACTCGTTGCAAACCAGGTTGACAGACTAGACCACTCAAAATGCAGACTCCCTAAAGGGACTACCAAATTTGTAATGAATGCAAGCTTGGCTGCTTGCCACATATAAAGCCAAATGAACAAGGATGAGATGCAGTGAAAGGAAAGTGACTTTTATTCCAAAAGCCAGCAGTTGGGAGAGTGGCCAGGCTCACGCCTTTAAAAGACCATTCCAAACTTTAGGCTGGGGAGAGGAGTTTAGAAGGGGGAACTTGGGGTGGGAGGCATTCAGGAGTGATGCTGGGTGCAAGGTCTGTGTGTCCTGTCCCAGTGGCTATCTTGAGTCATGCTCCACCTGGAACATAGGCTGGTGTCATCTTCACGATGGCCAGGTTGTAGACTAACCTCCTTGAGGTAATCTCTGGAATTTTACAACTGAGTCTCCATGTCTGATTTGTTTCAAAATTAGCCCCTGGAACTTCTAAGCAAGAACATAATTAGATAAGCCAGCAGTGCATGGAGTGTCGAGTGGGAAGGGAGGGAAACAAAATTCCAAAGTATGTTTTCAAGGCAAAAATCAAGAAAGGAATAAAAAAAATTTTAAAATGCACTTTGAATCTAAGCTACTCAGTTACAACTAGATTAAATAAAATGACATAAAATAAAACTAGAACAAAATATAAAGACAAGTTTGCTTTATATAAGTTAATGGCCTAAAATAAAAAACATTCTAATTTAAATCTGAGACAATAGGTACACTTGAAATAGGGATAAGAAAATTAGATTTGAGTATACATTACTTGATGATACATAACTTTTATTATTATTATTATTTTCATTTACCATAAGTTTACTTGCAAAAATAATTTCTATGATTTTCATGAAGACTATTAAGACTAACCCTTCCAGTTTTAGAAATACAGATATGCTCATAATTCCTGTACCCTTGTATTTATTTCACAGTTGATTATGTTACAGTTACCTTTGAGAGAAACAGAACCCTAAGTGAGGTATGATATTGAATATTTTATAAGTTAAGAAATTTTGTTGTGGGATTGGGGACTTCATGGATTGGGATTAATCTAAAAAATGGCAATTCTACAGACTGAAAGGCTTCACAATCACTCTTTGCTCCCAGTGGTGTTTCTACTTGGGTTTATTAGTACTTACCTAATTATGTTAATCAGGACCTAAGCAATGGTTCTAGAAAAACAATTCGTACCAGAAAGACATGCATTGCAATGTTTTCTGGGCTCATATCCCTCAGAAGAGAGGCACAGACATTAAGGATTTTTTTTTTTTTTGAGACAGAGTCTCGCTCTGTCTCCAGGCTGGAGCGCAGTGGCATGATCTTGGCTCACTGCAACCTCTGCCTCCCAGGTTCAAGCAATTCTCCTGCCTCAGCATACCAAGTAGCTGGGACTACAGGCACGCTCCACCATGTCCAGCTAATTTTTGTATTTTTAGTAGAGACAGGGTTTCACCATGTTGGCCAGGATGGTCTTGATCTCTTGACCTCGTGACCCACCCCCCTTGGCCTCCCAAAGTGCTGGGGTTACAGGCGTGAGCACCAAACCCAGCCACATTAAGGATTTTTTAAAAAACAATTGTGATCAGTCAGAGCAACACTATGGTTGTTAATTTATTTTCCTACTGTTACTAAAACACCAGGGATTCAGTCTAGGTCCTGCTGCTTGCTGTATAGACTGCCAGTCACTGAGTCAACAAGTATTGCCAGGGAGAAGGCTTTAATCAGGTGCTGCAGCCAAGGAGAATGGTAGATAAAAATCTCAAACCTGTCTCTCTGAGTAAAATTGGGGGATTTACACAGAAAGGAAGGTAGGAAAACAGGAATTAGAGATGGGTGAAGAAGCAATCATGATGGATGAGGAGTCTGACTTCTCATTATCTGGGTGCAGTGATCCGTTGAGTTTCAGTTCCTTGCCTAAGGGTCGATTTCCTAAAGAAGGAATTCAGATGAGAAAAACGTTTTAAGACCAGGGAGTTTAAAGACCAGTGGGTTTTAAGACCAGGGAGGGAAGGTTAATTTCTATGTTTGTTCAAAAAACTGTAAATATTACTTCTATGAACAAGTGGGCTAGTTTCACTAAGAGAATTAGAACTTATATTTCAAAAACAGCATTAATTTTTCCCTTCTTTTTTTTATAGTCAAGCTCTTGTTTTTATAGTCAGGAACCATTTCTTGAATGGGTACCCTGCTTACCTCACATTTTTAAAGGAATAAAAATTTTTCCAACTGTGCTAACATTTCTTGTTGACCAAGAGCGTGGTACTGGAGTTTACCTCTTCTATAACAAGGTAGGCCTTATATCCCAGAGGGAATTTATCTTGACATGACAACAATAAAAATTTACCTTAGCAAAAGTTATTTTCAAGTTCTTGTTATGTCTGGCAATAGAACCTATAAAATTGGCTATAGCAAAATTATTTAAAATCAATAATATAGCTTGACACTTTAGAGATTTCTCACCTGGTCGTCATTCATTTTGATGAAAATGGAAAACGTGATGCTGTATGCATAGTGATTCTCCCTTGCTAATTCTCTAAAGAATATAAGCTGGGATTTTTCTATACAAATTTAAGATTCCATAAAATGGTTAATTAAACAGAAAAAAAAATGGAAGTAATTGCCACAGATCTATATTTTTTTCTTCCAAACGTCCTTAACCCTACCTGTGAATTAGAATTCTTCTTAGAGCCATTAAAAAACACATAAACTGACAGTTGTGATGGCTCATGCCTGTAATCCCAGCAACTCGGGAGGCTGAGGCAGGAGGCTTGAGGCCAGGATTTCAAAACCACAGTGAGGCACTACTGCACTCCAGCACACCAGGTGAGGTGACAGAGCAAAATCCAGTCTGAGAAAACAAACAAGCAAGCAAACAAAAAAACAAACAAACAAATAAAACCATAAGTTCGGCCCCTATCGTCAAGATTGTAGGGAAGGAAAAAGCTCTTTCCTCCATCTTCGTATGTTCAATGAGTGGAGCCTTGCAAATTAAACTGAAAAAAAAATATTAATAGGAGAAAACAGTTTATTTACATGTGCAGTGTGCACACATGGGAAACTCAGTGATGAGGTTAAAATTTGGAAGTTAGGTACCATCTTTTTGTTGTTGTTGTTGTTGTTGTTGTTGTTGTTTTTGAGACAGAGTCTCCCTCTGTTGCCCAGGCTGGAGTGCAGTGGTGCAATCTCGGCTCACTGCAAGCTCCGCCTCCCGGGTTCACGCCATTCTCCTGCCTCAGCCTCTCCGAGTAGCTGGGACTACAGGCGCCCGCCACCATGCCTGGCTAATTTTTTGTATTTTTAGTAGAGGCAGGGTTTCACCGTGGTCTCGATCTCCTGACCTCGTGATCTGCCCGCCTCGGCCTCCCAAAGTGCTGGGATTACAAGCGTGAGCCACCGAGCCTGGACGGTTAGGTACCATCTTAATAGGTGAAGGGGAAAGGGAGAAAACCATTTATGGAAAAACAAATTGCTTTTAAAAAAAAAGAAAAAAAGATAAATGGGTTTTCAGGACAGCAAACAGGAGATACGATTTTTTTTTGTTGGTTGGTTTTTTGGGGTTTTTTTGAGATGGGGTCTCGCTCTGCTGCCCAGGCTGGAGTGCAATGGTGCAATCTTGGCTCACTGCAACCTCGGCGCACTGCAACCTCTGCCTCCCAGGCTCAAGCGATTCTCCTGCCATAGCCTCCCAAGTAGCTGGGATTACAGGTGCCCACCACCACACCTGGTCAATTTTTGTATTTTTTAGTAGAGATGGGGTTTTGTCATGTTGGCCAGGCTGGTCTTGAACTCCTGACCTCAAGTGATCCACCCACGTTGGCGTCCCAAAGTGCTGGAATTGCAGGCATGAGCCACAGCGCCTGGCCAGGAGATATGAAAGTTTTTGATAATGTTTGTAAATCTAGGTATGAGTGGTCTTTCCTTCTCCTTCAGGGGTATAAAACTCCTCTGGAGAAGGGATTTGGGACAGGTTTTATTTACATTCTTCCTTCTAGGAGTAGATCTGCCCCAAGGAGGAATTTCTGTCAGCCTCATTTCCCAGCAGTTCCTGCTTTTAGTCAGACACAAAAGGCTCCAAAGTTTTTTCTCTGCATCTGTTGAATCTCAACAGTCTTCAGCTTAAAATTATCCTTATATAAAAGTGGCATTTTTTTGTTTTGAGACAGGGTCCCTGTCACCCAGGCTGGAGTGCAGTGGAGCGATCTTGGCTCACTGCAACCTCTGCCTCCCGGTTTCAAGAGATTCTCCCACCTCAGCCTCCCAAGTAACAGAAATTACAGGTGTGTGCCACCACGCCAGCTAATTTTTGTATTTTTAGTAGAGACAGGGTTTTGCCATGTTGTCCAGGCTGGCCTCGAACTCCTGGCCTCAAGTGATCCACCCAGTTCGGCCCCCCAAAGTGCTGGGATTATAGGCGTAAGCCACTGCGCCTGGCCAAAAGTGGCATATTTTGAGGTTTCATATCTCTTTTTTTTTTCTTTTGAGATGGTCTCACTCTCACTCAGGCTGGAGTGCAGTGGTGTGATCATAGTTCACCACAGACTCTAACTCCTGGCTCAAGCGATCCTCTGCCCCAGCCTGATTAGTAGCTGGGACTACAGGTTCATGCCACCATGCCTGGCTAATTTTTAATTTTTTTTTTTAATGCAACTGGGTCTCACTTTGTTGACCAGGCTGTTCTCAAATGCCTAGGCTCAAGCAATCCTCTCACATAGGCCTCCCAAAGTGCTGAGATTACAAGCCACTTTTATATAAAGATAATTTTAAGCTGAAGACTGCGCCTGGCCTGAGGTGTCATATTCTGATCCCATTTAAAATAATGGTTGAATAGAACTGGGGTGTGGCTTAGGCATCCACACTTTTGGCATGATAGTCATAAGCATGGGCTTTGGAGTCTGTCTGGCAAGTTCAGCAGTGATTCTATAATAAACCTCTCTTTGCTGTTAATTATAGAGCTTTCAACAAGTTATTTAATCTCCTAAACTTCATTTTCAACAACTATAAGATGGGTGTGTGGCAGGGGCCAGAGTGGTGGAGTAAAGAGGTAACAATTACTGCTAATCCTTCTAGTTCTATGTTGTGTTAGTGATTGTATCTCTCTCTTAATCAAAATGCAAGTAACAGGAAATTCTAAAATTTGTAACACAGACTAGTCTTATGACTTGCTCATTCTTTGTTTACCTAGGTCAGGAAAACTGCCATTGCCTCTGTGAGCACCCTGAGAAATAATGAACCAAATTCACAATCAAAATTTCCAATTTTTCGGTTTCCTTCATCATTCTCTTCTCCCGTTGGAATGGTATTTCATCCCCGAAGCCACTTTTTGTATGCTTATGGCAATCAGGTGCGTACACATGGAACTTCAGTCTGTGTTAGAGTTAAATCATCCACCTACTGTATGCTGCATGGCTGTACATTAAGAACAGAGCTTCTCTGATGACCTAGAGATGGCAGTGGGAGGGAAGACAATATTTATTGACTATTTATTGTATACTAAGCTTGGTGTCCATTATCAGTTTTTACCTTTCAGGTAGTTCATTGGCTGATGAAAATGAGCCATGGGTACATCAGAGTTAGCTTGAATGTTGCCAATTACTATACCTGTCTTTCCAGCTCTGAATTACTTAGATTTTGCCACTAATCCCATCAAAAGTGTATTTCTAACTGGTGTTTCCAGCATTTAATGTTTGCCTTTTTCTGTTTGACTTTGAGCTTGACTTTCTGGCTCTGTTGTTCTTTAAGTTCCTCCTAGTAGCATTTTCCACCCTCTGGCTGCTCCTTCAGTCAGTTCTGTATCAGTACACTGAAAGCTTGGTAAAGGAGTAGTTATACCATCTATGGAGCATCTGACAGTTTTAAAAAGTAAGGGCCACAGATTATGAAACATTAAGCAAACTTTGGAACTAAGAAAGTACTGCAATGACTTCCAAAGAAGGAACTAATTCAGTTTCTCAAATATCTATATTATGTGCAAAATTTAGAGATTTTAAAGATGATACCCTGTTTCTAGGTCTTCTTAAAACTCTCTTCCATATTTTAGTTTTTCACACTAAATGTTTATGTATTAATCCATTCTCACACTGCTATAAAGAACTGTCCGAGACGGGGTAATTTATAAAGAAAAGAGGTTTAATTGACTCACAGTTCTGCCTGGCTGGGAAGGCCTTGGAAAACTTACAATCATTGTGTCTGGAATTGGTTCCTTCCGGTGGGTTCTTGGTTTCGCTGACTTCAAGAATGAATCTGCGGACCCTCGCGGTGAGTGTTACAGCTCTTAAAGATGGTGTGTCCAGAGTTTTTCCCTTTAGATGTTCAGATGTGTCCAGAGTTTCTTCCTTCTGGTGGGTGCGTGGTCTCGCTGACTTCAGGAGTGAAGCTGCAGACCTTCGCAGTGAGTGTTACAGCTCTTAAAGGTGGCACGTCCAGAGTTGTTTGTTCCTCCCGGTGGGTTTGTGGTCTTGCTGATTTCAGGAATGAAGCCGCAGACCCTCACAGTGAGTGTTACAGCTCATAAAGATAGTGTGGACCACGAGTGAGCAGCAGCAAGACTTATTGTGAAGAGCGAAAGAACAAAGCTTCCACAGCATGGAAGGGGTCCCGAGTAGCTTGCCGTTGCTGGCTCGGGTGGCCAGCTTTTATTCCCTTATTTGGCCCCACCCACATCTTGCTGATTGGTCCATTTTACAGAGCACTGATTGGTCCATTTTACAGAGTGCTGATTGGTCCATTTTACAGAGTGCTGATTGGTGCGTTTACAATCCTTTAGCTAGACACAGAGTGCTGATTGGTGCGTTTACAAACCTTTAGCTAGACACAGAGCACTGATTGGTGTGTTTTCACAGAGTTCTGATTGGTGCGTTTACAAACCTTTAGCTAGACACAGAGCGTGGATTGGTGTGTTTACAATCTAGTTTTCTAGCTAGACAGAAAAGTTCTCCAAGTCCCTACTCGACCCAGGAAGTCCAGCTGGCTTCACCTCTCAATCTCCCCTCTAAACAGGACACCCCAAATGCTGTTGGGAATTGGCCGATGATAGCTCTAGCTACTTCCTGCTGGATGGGGTGAAGAAAGGGCCCTGCAGTTGTAGTGTCCTCCAGAGGGGAACTCTTTAGGCCAGCGAAAGGGCCAGTGGGTCAGTCCAGGTGTCCTCGGTAGAAGTTGTTAGTTGAGCTCATTTGGGGTTCCATTTGTAAGACCATCTATAGTTTGATGGCCTTGGTCCTAGAGGAAACAAATTTGACAAGGAGGTTAAAAATACAGGGCCCAAAGGTGAGTAATAGCAAGATGGCTGTCACAGGACCTAGAAAGGGGAGAAGTCATGTTGCCCAACTCCAGAGGTTGGTATAAGAGTTTGAAAGGCATTGTCTGATTTCAGAAGCCTTTTCCTGTAAACGCCAGGTAGCATCTCTTACTATCCCTGACTGGTTAGTGTAAAAACAACACTCTTTCCCTGAGAAGGTGCAGAGTCCTCCTTTCTCAGCAGTGAGGAGGTCTAGGCCTTGGCGGTTTTGGAGAGTCACTGCTGCCAAAGAGTCTATTTAGGATTGTAGAGTAAAGATAGATTTCATTATTTCTTGCAGACTTGTCTGAGAGGCAGATATAGGTTGAAGTTCCACATAAGAAGAATATGCCTTGGCTGGGTAGACAGAAATTTACCCTGCCTTTTAAAGGAATAGGGTACGCTGTTTTTTCTTGACTACTTCTATCTCTCTCTTTCCTTCTGTCTTTGACTTTGTCTCTCTCTTTCTCTTTCTTTCTATCTGACTTTCTGTCTCTTTGTCTCTTTCCTTTCTGCTGGTATTTCCCTGCCTCTGCCAGACACTTATGCTGCTGTTCTCCTCTCTCCTTCCCCTTTTTGATGGCTTCCGCAGTGTAAGACTGCCACCTCCTTGGGTTTTTGCAATGTGTGCAATAACTCCATAATTTCCTTGTGGTATTTAATGGGGTTCCCCCAGAGGTTAGGAACTCCCTTTCTTTCCATATTGCAGCATGGGCATGTAGGATTAGATAAGCATACTTGCTGTCTGTATACACATTTATACTTTTTCCCTTTCCCAGTTCTAAGGCTCAGGTAAGTGCCACTAGTTCTGCTAACTGGGCGCTGGCCCCTGGGGGAAGAGGCTTACTTTCAAGTACAGTTACATCACTAACTATGGCATAACCTGCCCTTCGTATCCCATTCTCCACAAATGAACTTCCATCAATATATAGGTTAAGGTCAGGATTAGCTAAGGGGACTTCTAAGAGATCATCTCGGGCGGCATAAATCTGGACTATAATTTGTTGGCAGTCATGCTTGATTGGTTCCCCATCCTCTGGGAGAAAAGTAGCAGGGTTGAGGGCCACACACATACGTATTTGAAGCACCAGTCCCTCAAGGAGTAGCGCCTGGTATCTAAGTAGGCGGTTGTCTGATAGCCATAAACTTCCTTTGGCACCTAGTATGTCATTTACATCATGAGTAGTCCAGACAGTGGGATCCTTGTATTATTTTGATAGCCTCTGACACTAAGACGGCCACCGCCACAACTACCCTTAAACAGTGAAGCCAGACTTTTGCTACTACATCAACTTCTTTACTTAGGTATGCCACTGGTTGTGGGGTTGTCTCACGAGTCTGAGTAAGGATTCCAAGAGCTATCCCTGCTCTCTCTGTGATGTATAAAAAGAAGTTTTGTCCTGTGGGAAGGCTTAAAGCTGGAGCTTGTACTAGGGCCTGCTTTAAGGTTTTGAAGGCTGTTTCTGCCTCTGGTTCCCATTCTACTAGATGAGTATTTGCCCTCCGGGTCTCCTTGATTAGAGTATAGAGGGGCCTGGCTATCTCGCTCTATCCAGGGATCCATAGTTGGCAAAAGCCGGTGATTCCAAGGAACCCCCGCAGCCGTTTTAATGTCTTAGGGCAAGGATAAGCCAGTATAGGCTGTATTCGTTCCTTGCTGAGGGCCCTGGTTCCTCTGGCTAAGATTAGGCCTAGATATTTGACCTGCTGTAGGCAAAGCTGGGCCTTCGACCTAGATGCCTTGTACCCTTGATTAGCTAGAAAGTTCAAGAGATCTAGAGTAGACTGCTGAGAGAAGAGTGGCAGAGTGAAGGGGCAACAGCCTCTTATAAAACCATTAGATCTCATGAGAACTCACTATCACGAGAACAGCATGGGGAAATCGCCCCCATGATCCAATCACTTCCACCTGGTTCCTTCCTCAACACCTGGGGATTATGGGGATTATAATTCAAGATGAGATCTGGGTAGGGACACAAAGCCTAACCATATCCGTTTGGGGGTTTTTGTGGGTTTTTTTGTTAGTTTGTTTTTGAGACGGAGTCTTGTTCTGTCGCCCAGGCTCACTGCGACCACCACCTCCCGGGTTCAAGTGATTCTCCTGCCTCAGCCTCCCAAGTAGCTGGGATTACAGGCACCTGCCACCACACCCAGCTAATTTTTGTATTTTTAGTAAAGAGGGGGTTTCACCATGTTAGCCAGGCTGGTCTCTATCTCCTGACCTCAAGTGATCTGGCCGTTTTCGCCTCCCAAAGTGCTGGGATTATAGGCATAAGCCACCACACCCAGCCAATATCAGTTTAAAATCTCTAATTTCTTCTTTGACCCTTGAATGTTTGTTCCCCTTATAAGAGGAACACAATTTGCATTTGGTGGTGTCCAGGTTTCTCCACATATATAACAGGCGATCATCTAAATAGAGTTCTTGGGCCTGCATTTCCCCCAGTCTCCATCTTGTGTTTTTTTCTCTGTATTTCTCCAACTGAGTAGAATCCTATGACTTTATTTACTCATTTTCTGTCATTTTTTGAAAAAGTGGTTGCTTCATTGTCTTTTGTTCTAGAATTCCTAGGGCGCATGGATTGGAAACTAACAGTGATGTAAGGAGTTATTATACTTGAACTTAATGGTTTAAAAGTGTGTAGATCAAAAATTTTGCCAGTATTTTATACATCTCAAAAATTCAGGCTGGGTGCAGTGGCTCACACCTGTAATCCCAGCACTTTGGGATGTCAAGGTGAGTGGATTGCCTGAGCTCAGGAGTTCGCGACGAGCTTGGGCAACATGCCAAAACCCTGTCTCCACCAAAAAATAAAAAAAAATTATCCAGGTGTGGTGGCACGTTCCTGTGGTCCCAGCTACTCAGGAAGCTGAGGTGGAAGGTTTCCTTGAGCCTGGGAGGTAGAGGTTGCAGTTAGCCAAGATTGTGCCATTGCACTCCAACCTGGGTGACAGAGTAAGACCTGATCTCACACACACACAAAAATCAATTTATGTGTGTTTTGATTGTGGACAATAAATAGTCAGAATTAAAGATAAAGGGTTTATATGGTGTCCTCTGAAATGAAGCTAAGAAACAGAACGAACAGTTGAACAAAAATTTAGAAAGACCAAGGAATTGGAACAACTCTTGTGGAAACAGATTAACAATAGCTAAAACAGATGTAAATCTAATAGAGCTTACAAAATGGTCCAGTTGGATGTGAGGGTTGTACAGCAACCAAGATGTCCTTCACTAGGAGAATGGACAAATAAACTTGGTATATCCAGATGATGGATTATTATTCAGTGCTAAGCAGAAATGAGTTATCAAGCCATGTAAAAGACATGGAAGACTGTAATCCCAGCACTTTGGGAGGCCGAGGCGGGTGGATCACCTGAGGTCAGGAGTTCGAGACCAGCCTGGCTAACATGGTGAAACCCTGTCTCTACTAAAAATACAAAAATTAGCTGGGTGTGGTGGCAGGCGCTTGTAATCCCAGCTACTCAGGAGGCTGAGACAGGAGAATCGCTTGAACTGGGGAGGCAGAGGTTGCAGTGAGCCGAGATTGCACCACTGCACTCCAGCCTGGGTGATTGAGTGAGACTCTGTCTCAAAAAAAAAAAAAAAAAAAAAAAAGACATGGAAGAAGCTTAAATGCATATTACTAAGGGAAAGAAACTAATCTGAAAAGGCTACAAACTTTATGATTCCAATATATGACATTCTGGAAAAGGCAAAACTATGGAGACAGCAAGAAGATCCGTGGTTGCCAGGGATTAGAGGGCAGAGAGGTTGAATAGGCCGAGAACAGAGGACTTTTAGGGCAGTGAAACTCTTCTGTCTGATACTATAATGGTGGATACATGCCATTACACGTTTGTCTAAGTCCATAGGATGTATAAGACTAAGAATGGTCCCTAATGTAAACTATGGACTCTGAGTGATAATGATGTATCAGTGTAGGTTCATCAGTTGTTGGGGAATGCTAGTAATGGGGGAGACTATGCATGTGCGGGGGAACTCTTCCACTACAATGTAAATATACGTAACACTACTGAACTGTATGCTTAATAATGGATAACATGATAAAGTTTATGATATGTGTTTTTTACCTCAATAAAAAAGAAAAAATTATAAAATAACCAATAGTTAGATCACAAAACACTCTTGTATTATGACCTAGAAAATATCCGCCATCTCTTCACAAAATTGAAAACATCTGAATTAATTTTTTTTTTTTTTTTTTTTTTTGAGACGGAGTCTCACTTTGTCGCCCAGGCTGGAGTGCAGTGGTGCGATCTCGGCTCACTGCAAGCTCCGCCTCCCGGGTTCACGCCATTCTTCTGCCTCAGCCTCCCAAGTAGCTGGGACTACAGGCGCCCTCCACTACACCCAGCTAATTTTTTGTATTTTTAGTAGAGACAGGGTTTCACCGCGTTAGCCAGGATGGTCTCGATCTCCTGACCTCGTGATCCGCCTGCCTCAGCCTCCGTTTGAGCACCACCCATATGCAATAACACAATCAAGACAAAGGATATTTCCAAAGTAATTTGGCAATGACTTATAATTTGGGTCAAGTTAAACATTCAAAATGAAAAATAATAAAAGAAATGAAGACTGATCTTAAGTTACACTGGTGATATGGGCCAAAATCTCACCTGTAAGTCAGCCATTTAGCAGTCAGTTTTCTTATTTGGTTAGGTCCCCGAATCAGATCACAGAGTCTCTTAACTTCACTTTTTACCTAAAGAAAGTTTTCTGCATCCTCTTTTTAAAAAAAGGAGGAGGGGGAAGCAGAAGAGGAGAAGGAGGTGGAGGAGGGAGGAGGAAGGAGAAAGAAAGAAGAAGGAGAGAAAGAGGAAGAGACTTTTTCATGAAGGATATACTAAGAAGTGAAAAACAACAACAATCTGCAAACTGGGAGATGATATTTACAATACATTTAACTAAGAAAGAATTATAGAAGTAAGAATATATAAAGAATTTCTGCAAAGCAATATGAAAAAGACAACCTAATAGCAAAAAGGAGAAAACACACAAATAAGCATATCACAGAAAAGGAAACAAGTGGAATGAATACGTGAAGAGATGATGGAGTTCACAAGCAATCAGGGAAATACAAATCAGGAATGAACGACGATATCATTTTCAGCTACTTAACTGGCAAAATAAATTCTGTCGATACAAAATGTTGAAAGTGTAGGTCAACACGATTTCTTATATATTGCTGCTGGGAGAGTAAATTATTACAACTATTCTGGAAAGCAATCTGCCATTGTTATTATTATCTTGTAAATGTGAATATTTGCATATCCTATGTCCCACCAATTTCACTTTTCAGCAAGGGAAACACATATATCCGGAGACATTTTAAAATGTTTGTCATGGGTACTGCTAGTAATAACATCAAATTACTAAAAGTAATCCAGATGTCTATGAATAGGAAAATGAATAAGTAAATTACATCTTATTCACCTAATGAACTATTATATGGAAATGAAAAAGCAAATGAACTGAGCTGTATGCAACATGTATGAATTTAAGTAAATAATGTTGAGGGAAAGTAAGTTATAGAAGACAATATATGGTATGGATAGCCCTTTTTACAAGGAGCAAAAATAAGTAAAATTAAGCATTATGTTATTTAAACATATGTGCTTAAATTATTTTAAATACCAAGGGAATGAAAAAACACAAAATTCAGGATATTGGATATGTAACAGGAAAGGCAGAGGGATAGGAATGGGGAGAAACAGGAAGATGTAAATTACTAGCAATATGCCGATTCATAGGTTTTCAGTTCACACAGTTCATTATATTATTAAATAATATAAGGAAAAATACAAATGAGCCATGTATAGATAAATAATTTAAAATATTTAGGGAAAAACACAATGAGATGTCATTTTTCATTCTGATCATGAGTAAAAATTAAAAATAAATTTTTGGTCATATCAAGTATTGGTGAGGTTTGGGGAAACAGATACTCTCATACACTACTGGTGGGACTGTAATCTGGTTCAGCAAAACTGAAGAGCACTTGGGTAGTCTCTATTAAAGTTGTAGAAATGTGGCTAGATGCAGTGGCTCATGCCTGTGATACCAGCACTTCGGGAGGCCAAGGCAGGAGAATCGCTTGAGCCCGGGAGTTTCAGACCAGCCTGGGCAACATGGCAAAAACCCATCTCTACAAAAATTAGCCGGGCATGGTGGCTTATGCCTGTAGTCCCAGCTACTTGGGAGGCTGAGGTGAAAAGATGGCTTGAGCTGAGAAGGCAGAGGTGGCAGTGAGCCAAGATTGTGCCACTGCACTGCAGCCTGGGTGACAGAGTGAGACCCTGTCTTAAATATATATATATATATATATATATGATAGCATCTGACTCAGCAGCTTAATTTTTCAGTATTTTCTTTAAAGATAACACTGTAACGTTAGTACAAATAGGCAGATAAATGAATGTTCACTGCAGTATTATTCACAACAGTGAAAATTTGGGTACAACTTTTAAATGTTCAGTAGTATAGTAGAAAAGTAGACTATCTCAAGTATGGTATATCCATAAGTTGGAGACTATAGGACAGTGTAGAAGAATGTGCTGATCCACATGAGCTAACATAAAATGATCTGAGATACATTGTTGCGTGACAAATGTAACTTATAGAAAAACAGGTACAATATGATACAAGTTCGAGCCTATTGTTCAAGGTGCCCTTCCTTAGACACCTAACTACCTCCCTGCTCACCAGTAATGTTTGCAGGGCCCAAAGCAAGAGTGAAAATTGAGGTCCACATACCATATGCTTTGGATCATGGATTGTGTTATGCCAGCAATGAGTGCTGCATCCTGAGTAACAGAAGCACCTATGTGTATTCAGTATGTTTCCTGTATGTGTTTGTAATATTCAGGCCCAGTAAGCAAGCAGTCCAGGGCAAAGTTACTTCCTGTCCAAGTCTAAAAGCCTTTCTGTCCTCCCTACCATAAAAATGAAATCAGTACTGTACATATTCTATTGGTATCTGCATACATATGAATGTAAATGCTTCGAATTTTCAAACCGATTAACTGGTCACCTATGGGAAGGGATAGAGGAGACTAGGATTGATTATATTAGATGAGGCATAAAAGGAGAATTGTTTGGATGGTGGTCTCAGATTCTTCAGCCATATTTATAAAGTTGGAAATGTAAGAAAAGCCTATTTTCTTGTATAACTTGTTATTAAAATTAATTTTTTAAAAATCCAAACAACAGAAATCTTCATGTGAATGAGTCTCAGGCTATTAAAAGCGGTAGCAACTGGGAATCATAATACAGAATTGATCTGTTTTATCCTCAAACAACTCTTACCTAAAGATGAGGAAACAGAGAAACTAAGATGCTATAGTAATAAACTAATATAACTATACAGTGAGATAAGTGATTTGAGGATCTACAAAGGTCCCAGGACACATCCCTTGCAAATGACAAGGGGCTCTTCCATGCAAAATATGTGTGCATATATATTTGCCAGACACCTAGAACATGAAGTATTATGTCAATATGGGGTAAACCCCTCCCCCAGATCCAAATGCACCCAGCACTCCATTCTTTTATGAACACGGAATTATTTGGGAGATCATAGGAATAACTTTGTTATTTTATACAATCACTATGCATATTGTGTAGACCGGTACTCTGCCACAGACACCTTCATACACACTCTAGGATGGAAATAGAAGGTAGACAAAGTAGATAAGGAGTCTGTATACGAGTGTGTGTGTGTGTGTGTGTGTGTGTGTGAGAGAGAGAGAGAGAGATGAATGTAGGCATATGGAAAAGATCATGCCACATGGCTATTCTCATGTAGGCTGATAGGTAACTGCCAACTGTTGCATGGCAGCCCTTTAGTAAGGTATTATCTCTTTATTCCTTTAGATATGGCTTTCAGTTGATGGCGGCAACACCTTTCAATTAATAGCTAACTTTCATGATGATATCATAAAGAAGACTTTTCATAGTTTTTATACATCAGCTATTACTTTTGTTTCTCAACGTGGAAAGGTTTACTCGACAAAGGCAGGTAAGAAATTTGCTTTCACTGGTGTAAGCATTACATGTGGCCCAGGATTAGAAGATATATGAAAAACCTGCCGTATTAATCAACTAATCCTAAGACCTCAAAACTATTAGGGGTGATGGATTTGTAGGATCTACAGAAGTAGGATCCTATGGATAGTCCTAAAGAAAGGCAACACTAGGTCACCATGCTATGTTCTCATTTACCATTTCAGAGATATTTTACTGTCCCAAAAGCCAAATAATAACAGCTACCACTTGTCAAGCTACAATTGTGCTCAGCATGTTACAAATATCATCTCATCTGATATTCAGAACAACTTTGCTGAAGTAGGTAATGTTAGCTTACTTTTGCTGATTACACTGATACAACTGACACACAACCAGTAATGGTGGAGTTGTGTGAATGATACACTGCTCTCATCTCTTTCATTTGGTAATCTTGTGCTTTCATTGATCAAGTTTATATAGCTCCTATCAGTGTTTGCATAGCAAAAGAAGTAGTTAATTTTTAAGTATAATTTTATTTCTTAACTAACAAATATTGATTTTACATATTCATGGGGTACAAAGTACTATTTTGACACATATAATGTAGAGTGATCAGATCAGGGTAATTAGCATATCTGTCATCTCAAACATTTATCATTTCTTTATGTTGGGAATGTTCAATATCCTCCTCCTAGCTATTTTAAACTATATAACATATTAGTGTTAACTATGCCATCCTCCAGTGGTATAGAACACTAAAATTTATTCTTCCTATCTGGCTGTAATTTTGAACCCTTTAGCAAATCTCAAAACAGTTAATATTGATTGACCTTAATGATAGTTGCCCACTCCTTTCCAACTCAGTTGAATTTTGCTAACCAGCCTAGGACCCTAGAGTGATAAAGGGACATGATTCTCAATTTATTTCTGTATGTTTGCGACCTGCACTTTCATTTTATTTTGTCTTTCTATTATTGAGTCTTTGAGATCTTGTTTTGTTGAATTTAATTTATTAAGATTTTTTGAGGCAGAATATGGAAGTAAATTTACCTCCTATCTTGGGATGTGCTTTGTCTCAACTTGATTCTTTTTATCTTTTACAAGCTGTTAGTTTCTTCCTTCTCTTCCCTTCCTTTTTTTAAAAATATTTTATTCTTAATTTTTGTGGGTACATAGTAGGTGTATAAATTTATGGGATACATGAGATATTTTGATACAGGCATACACTGTGTAATAATCATATCGGGGTAAATGGGGTATCCATCACATCAAGAATTTATCCTTTATGTTACAAACATTCAAATTATATTCTTCCAGTTATTTTAAAATATATAATAAATTATTATTGACTGTAGTCACTCTGTTGTGCTGTCAAATACTAGATCTTATTCATTCTATGTAATGATATTTTTGTACCCATTAACCATCGCCATTCTCCCCCTACATAATGCCCCACTACCCTTCCCAGCCTCTGGTAACCATTATTCTACTCTCTATGTCTGTGAGTTCCATTTTTAAAATATTTAGTTCCCTCAAATAAGTGAGAACATGCAAACTCTGTCCTTCTGTCCCTGGCATATTTCACTTAACATCATGTCCTCCAGTTCCAATCATGTTGTTGCAAATGACAGGATCTCATTCTTTTTATGGCTGAATAGTACTCCATTGTGTATATGTACCATATTTTCTTTATTCATTCATCTGTTGATGGACACTTAGGCTGCTTCCAAAGCTTCACTGTTGTGAATAGTACTACAATAAACATGGGAGTGTAGATATCTCTTCAATGTACTGATCTCTTTTTTGGGGGGTATATCCTAGCAGTGGGATTGCTGGATCATATGGTAGCTCTATTGTTAGTTTTCTGAGGAACCTCCAAACTATTCTTCATAGTACTAATGTACTCTCCATTGTACTAATTTATATTCCCACCAACAGTGTACAAGGGTTCCCTTTTCTCCACATCCTCACCAGCATTCATTATTGCCTGTCTTTTCGATAAAAGCTATTTTAACTGGGATGAGATGATAATCTCATTGTAGTTTTGATTTGTATTTCACCGATGGTCAGTGATGTTGAGCACCTTTTCATACGCCTGTCTGCCGTTTGTATGTCATCTTTTGAGAAATGTCTATTCAGATTTTTGCCCATTTTAAAATCAGATTGTTAGTTTTTTCCTATTGAGTTGTTTGAACTTTTTATATATTCTAGTTATTAATTCCTTGTCAGATGGGTAGTTTGCAAATATTTTCTTCTGTTCTGTGGATTGTCTGTTCACTTTGTTAATTGTTTCTTTTGTTGTGCAGAAGCTCTCTAACTTGATGTGATTCCATTTGTCCGTTTTTGCTTTGGTTCCCTGTGTTTGTGGGATATTACTTAAGAAATCTTTGCCTAGATTAATGTCGTGGATAGTTTCCTCAAAGTTTTCTTTTAGTCGTTTTATAGTTTTTTTTTATAGTTTTTAGATTTAAGCCTTTAATCCATTTTGTTTTGATTTTTGTGTGTGGAGAAAGAGGTCTAGTTTCATTCTTCTGCACATGGATATCTTCTGCATATGGATATGGATGGCCTAACATATGTTCTATTTATTTCAGAATGATCTATGTGCTGAGGAGAAGAGCGTGCATTCTGCAGCCATTGGTTGACATGTTCTGCAAATATCTATTAGGTCCATTTGGTCTACAGTGCAGATTAAGTCCAATGTTTCTTTTTTGATTTTCTGTCTGGATGACCTGTCCAGACAGAAAATCATGTCCAAAGGTGAACATGGGTTGTTGAATTCTCCAACAGTTATTGTATTGGGATCTATCTCTTTCCTTAGCTCTGATAATATTTGCTTTCTCTATCTGAGGGCTCCAGCATTGAGTGTATATATAGTTATAATTTTTATATCCTCTTGCTGAATTGACCCCTTTATCATTATATAATGACCCTCTTTGTCTCTTTCTATAGTTTTTGTCTTGAAATCTATTTTGTCTGATATAAGTATAGTGACTTCTGCTCTCTTTTGGTTTCCACTTGCCTGGAATATATTTTTCCATCTCTTTATTTTCAGTCTATGTGTGTCTTTTTAGGTGAAGTGTGTTTCTTGCAGGCAACAGATCACTGGGACTTTTTAAAAAAAATCCATTCAGGCACTCTATGTCTTTTGATTGGAGAGTTTAGTCCATTTACATTAAATATTGTTATTGATAAGTCAGAACTTACTCCTGACATTTCATTTTTTTCTGATTGTTTTGTGGTCTTCTCTTCCTTCTCTTTTTCCTTCCTATCTTCCTTTTAGTGAAGGCAATTTTCTCTGGTAGCATGTTTTAATTTCTGTCTTCAAGCTCACTGATTCTTTATTCCGCTTGATCAATTCTTCTATTAATTTCTTGCTTTTATTTTTTGCATATCTGTTGTATGTTTTTAAATTCTAGGTTACCATAATATCTTATAACCCATTATTTTAAACTGACATGTCTTGAAAAGTTGTTGTAGTTATTATATTTGATCAGTTTATCTTTTAGTTTTTCTACTCAACATATGAGTAGTTTACATACCATAATTAACATGTTATAATATTCTGTGTGTTTCTGTGTACTTACTATGACCAGTGAGTTTTGTACCTTCAGATGATTTCTTATTGCTCATTAATATCTTTTTATTTATGCTTGAAGTATTCCCTTTAGCATTTCTTATATGGCAGGTCTGGTGTTGATGAAATCCCTCAGGTTTCTTTTTTTATCTCAGAAAATATTTCTTTTTCATGTTTAAAGGATATTTTTGCCAGATATACCATTCTGGGATAAAAGTTTTAAAAAATATACGTCATGCCACTTTTTCCTGGCCTGTAAGGTTTACACTGAAAAGCCTGTGCCAGATATATTGGGGCTCCTTTGTATGTTATTGATTCTTTTCTCTTGCTGCTTTTAGGATCCTTTCTTTATCCTTGACCTTTGGGAGTTTCATTATTAAATGCCTTGAGGTCATCTTCTTTGGCTGAAATCTGTTTGGTGTTCTGTTACCTTCTTGTGCTTGGATATTGATATCTTTCTCTAAGTTTGGGAAGTTCTCTGTTATTACTCCTTTGAATAAATGTTCAATCCCTATCTCTTTCTCTACTTCCTCTTTAAGGCCAATAACTCTTAGATTTGCCCTTTTGAGGCTAATTTCTAGATTTTACAAGCATGCTTCATTCCTTTTTATTCTTTTTTCTTTCATCTACTCTAATTGTGTATTTTTAAGTGGGTTGTCTTCAAGCTCACTAATTCTTTATTCTGCTTTATCAATTCTGCTATTAAGAGACTCTGATAATTCTTCAGTATGTCAATTGCATTTTTCAGCTCCAGAATTCTGCTTGATTCTTTTTAATTGTTTCAATCTCTTTGCTAAATTTATCTGACAGGATTCTGGATTCCTTCTCTATATTATCTTGAATTTCCTTGAGTTTTCTCACAACAGCTATTCTGAATTCTCTGTCTGAAAGGTCACATATCTCTGTCTCTCCAAGATCGGTCTCTGGTGCCTTATTTTGTTCCTTTGGTGAGGTCATGTTCTCCTGGATGGTCTTGATGCTTCTGGACATTGATTGGTGTCTGGGGATTAAAGAGTTTGGTATTTATTTTAGTTTTCACAGTCTGGGCTTGTTCGTACCTGTCTTTCTTGGGAAAGCTTTCCAAGTATTCAAAGGGACTTGAGTGTTGTGATCTAAGTCTTTGCTCACTGCAGCTGAATCTGCATTAGGAGGTACCTCAAGCCCAGTAATGCTTTGGCTATTGCCAACTTGTAGAAGTACTGCCTTGGTGGTCTTATGTAAGATCCAGGAGAACTTGTATTACCTGTATTACCAGGTATTACAGGAAGAGACTGTATTACCAGGTATTACAGGAAGAGACTGTATTACCAGGAAGAGACTTTTGTTCTCTTACCTTACTTTCCACCAAACAAATAGTGTCTCTTTCTCTGTGCTAAGCTGCCTGGAGCTAGGGGAGGGGTGATGCAAGCACCCTTGTAGCCACCACCACTAGGACTGCACTGGGTCAAACCCAGAGCCAGCACAGCACCAGGTCTTGCCCAAGGCCCACAGTTTCCACTGCCTGGCTACTACCTATGTTCACTCTAGGCCCAAGAGCTCTATAATCAGCAGGTGATGAGTCCAGCCAGGGTTATGATCTTCCCTTCAGGGCAGTGAGTTGCCCCCAGCCCCAGCTAGGTCCAGAGATGCCATCTGGAAGCCAAGGAAGTTGAGACCCTTAGAGTCTATGTGGTATTCTATTCTATTGCGGCTAAGCTGGCACCCAAGCTGCAAGACAAAGTCTTTCTTACTCTTCCCTCCTTTATCCTGAAGCAGAGCAGTCTCTCTCCATGGCCACCACCACCCCAAGCCCATGGCAATTACCCCCTGGCTACCGCCACTATTCACTCAAGGTCCAAGGGCTCTTCAGTCAGCTTCTGGTGAATGCTGCCAGTCCTGGATTTCTCCTTTCAGGGCAGTGGCCCCACTCTGGCCCAGGGCAGGTTTAGAAATGCCACACAAGAGCCAAGTCCTGGAATCAGAGACCCCAGGAGCCCACTTCGTGAATTGTCCACTGTGGCCAAGCTGGTACCCAAGCTGATTTCTGGTTCTTATAAAGGTGCTTTCTTGTGTGGATCATTGTTCAATTTGATGTTCCTGCAGGGGTGGATAATCACTGGAGGCTCTATTCAGCCATCTTGCTCTGCCTCCTCTCTATAATCCCTCTTTTTCTAATCTTCCCTACTCCCCTCCTCTACTCACCCACCTCCTTCTTTATCCCTTTTCCTTCCTTCTTCTTCTGTTCTTCCCACTCTTCCTGTTTCCATCAAGTTCATCATTAAAGGTGCAGCACTGGTCAGATCTTCTATTTGCTCTAACATAGTGTAGGTGAATTATTCTTGAGACCCATCTGCTTCACCTCATTTAGATAGGACTTGGACCCATTTTCTCAACTCAGTAAAGTGCCTTGGAAAGTGGTAAACCTGGCTTCACTTATGAGGGCTTGATTTTTCCCTTTACTTTTCCTTTTGATATCTTCTCATCCACTGTCACCTTCTTATATGGTTTGGCTGTGTCCCAACCCAAATCTCAACTTGAGTTGTATCTCCCAGAATTCCCACATGTGGGAGGGACCCAGGGGGAGGTAATCAAATCATGGGGGCTGGTTTTTCCTGTGCTATTCTCATGATAGTGAATAAGTCTCACAAGATCTTATGGGTTTATAAGGGGTTTCCGCTTTTGCTTCCTCCTCATTTCTCTCTTGCTGCAACCATGTAAGAAGTGCCTTCCACCCTCTGCCATGATTGTGAGATCTTCCCCAGCCATGTGGAACTGTAAGTCTAATTAAATGTCTTTCTTTTGTAAATTGCCCAGTCTCGGGCATGTCTTGATCAGCAGCATGAAAAGGGACCAATACACCTTCTTACTTGTTAGAAGGGTATAACCGAGAGCCTTCAGGATTTTGTTGATTTACCTTCCTTCTCTCAATATTGCCTCAACAATGAACTATTATAGATTATTGGGTAACTTTTGAGATTGAGGTAGACTTGGAGATATCTTATTAGGTCTAACAGAAATTAGAAAAACACTGTCACCAAGACAAGACAGAGGCTGTGTTTTTTTGTTTGTTGTTTTTAACACACAGCATTTTTTATTGTATAGTTTAAAATTTCTTCTGATCTCCAGTTTCTTCTGATCTTCAGTCTCTGATACGATTTTAAATGACGAAGTTTCTGATATAACTTCAAAAAGCATGGTTTTGCAGGCCTCAATATTTTGTCCTTGATGTTCACCAGCAAAAGCAGTTTTACAGTTATACAATCTCCTCTATTGGTCCTTCCTTGTTTGAGAATAAGGACAGACCACAAAATCCTGATGCTATTTCTCCAGATCTTCACCACTCAGTTTATTTATTCTCTATTCTGTCAATAAAGCTTTTGTTTAACTTATGTCAGTATCAAGATTAATCCATGTGGTTTGTATGTCTGAATCATGTGTTGAGACAGCAGCTGTGTCAACCTAAGATTCTGGTGATCAGACTTTATATGATTGTGAAATAAATGAAAGTAATTGTGAATATTGTTAGGAGCACAATGTTGAACGTTTCCAGTATTCCAGAAAGCTCCCTCTTGCCTCTTGCTGCATTTCTTTTTTTTTTTTTTTTTTTTTTTTTTTTTTTTTTTGAGACAGAGTCTTGCTCTGTTGCTCAGACTGGGGTGCAGTGGTATGATCTCAGCTCACTGCAACCTCCGCCTCCCGGGTTCAAGCGATTCTCCTGCCTCAGCCTCCCGAGTAGCTGGGATTACAGATACCCGCCACCATGCCCAGCTAATTTTTTTTTTTTTTTTTGTATTGTTAGTAGAGACAGGGTTTCACCTTGTTGGCCAGGCTGGTCTCAAACTCCTGACCTCAAATGATCTGCCCATGTAGGCCTCCCAAAATGTTGGGATTACAGGCATGAGCCACTGTGCCCAGCCTAATGGTATTTCACTGAAGATTTAGTTTGCATGAGTAATAATGTTAAGTATATTTTCATGTGTTCATTTTTATATCCTTTTTTGTAAATTCTTTTCAAGTCTTTTTTGAATGAAGTTTTGATTTGAGTTACTTTTCTTACTGATTTCTATAAGATTTTAATGTATTACGGATATGATTTTTTGTTAGAAATATGTCTTGGAAATATCTTCTTGTAATTAGTGGCTTGTCTTATTTATCTTCTTCATGGTATCTTTTGAACAAAAATTATTAATTTTTGAAAGCTCAATTGACCAATCTTTCCTTTTATGGTTAGCACTTTTTACTTCTTGTATTCTATTTAAGAATTCTTTGCCTATCCCAAAGCTATGAAGATATTCTCCTGTTTTCTGGAAATTGGTTGTTTTAGATTTTATATACAGATCAAAGTAAAATCTCTAATTTTGTATATGTCATGAAGTGAGGTTCATTTTTTTCCCTGTATGACTACCAGAGCCTCTACTCTGGCCTTGAATTGAATATTCATCCCAAGCTTTTCTTTCTGCTTTTGTAAGCTCTCCAATATATCCATAGAAGTCATGCCACCCCACAATCTTTGTAAAAATTATGGTTGTCACTGTAATCAACTGCAGCTACTCCAATGGACCACCTCAAGTCTTGCCCTCCACAGACACTGCATCCCACACTCGCCACAGAGATAATTTGAGTAATTGTGAAGCCCTTGCTTGCTATGGTTTGCCAGGCATAAGTGGTCATCTGTTCACTCATTAAGTGTGTAAGCAACTCAGTCCCAGAATCCCACCACTATATTCTATGCCTTAGGGACACTGTAGGTAAAAACACTATATCAGTTTTGGACCATGCAGGAAACGTAATTCCTCTCAGGTGTTTTACCTGAAGAAGCTTTACAAGGGGACTATTTGCAGAGGGCAGACATAGTTAAAGGGAGCAACAGTGATAGTAAAATATCCAGAGACTAGCAATGGAAGAAAGATGTTACAGTCTCTTTGCTTAGAGGGGGGATAAGATAGATAGATGGCATTACTAAAGCCCAGTCAAAGCTGGAATGGAGTAGGGACCACCCTTTAAGAGGTGTAATCTAGGAAGCTCACAGCCACCACAAAACCACACCACCAAAGCAAGAAGAAAGAGGATGAAAACTACCTTAACTTCTGTCTCCTTCTCCTTTCTTAACTCCTGCTGCTGCATTTCATTTGCCAAGCCCAATCAGGAGTCAACTGGAAACAGCACAAAGATTGCAATTCATAGAAATCAGTCTTCCATTGCACCAAACAGGAAAGAGAAAGTCTGAGAGTGGATCTGGAGGAATGGCCAAATAGAGAATAAACAGCACATATTGTGAAATAAAAACCAAAATAGACCTAGCAAGATAATGTTGGAAACAGTAAAAATAACACCTAAGAAAACTAAATTGTCAATAAAAATTATAGAATATTAAAAATTATAAATATAAACTATAGAAACATACCCAGATGTAAAATGAACAAATAAGTGGAGAAAATCTAAAATAATAAATATAGATGCTAAAGATTCAGGAACTGCAAAATTGTAGGGATTTCTAGTGATGAACAAAAATTGTGGCTGTATGTTTCTCTCTTTTATCTACAGTTTCTGGCATAGTATAGCCCTCTGATAGAAATGGGTGGGTGGATGGATGGATGGATGGATAAATACAAAAAACAGAAAGAACAGAGGAAACCAAAATCAATAATGACATTAATTTTTTTAACTAAAAGCAAAACAAACCAACACTAAAAGCAGAAACACTCTTCGAAATGGGAAATGTAAGTCAATTTTAAAGAAACAAAAATCAAGCCAGCCTTGGATTCTTCTGCTGCAACAATGCCTGTTGCATATTCTAATATAGAACCTCCAAAAAAATTAGTTTCACCTAAGAATTTGGAACCAACTCAACTCATTATTCATATTCGTATTCATTTTCTAAAAGAAAAACATAGAATTCTTCTACAACAAATTATGGTGATTCCTTCCGTGACACTGGTTTTACTGATAAACATATGTCCTATTGCTTTATTTTCTTCTCTGCACACACAATAACTTTGTTTGAAAGCATTTTAAGCAGCAATAAAACTCAACATGTATTGCACCAATGATCTAGGAAGCTCAGTTAAAGTGATGACACTTTATAAAAGTTATAAATAACTGATTTATAAATATTTATAAAGTTATAAATAACTGAGACAAAGTACATGCATGGGTAGGCAATTGACCACTATGGTTTCAGTGCCCTCTGGCTGACAATGATTGTAAGACACATCAATTATAAGACGTGTCTCAATTCCCAAGCTGTTAACATGTGAAACATGCATTTCTTGCCATATTTATCCACAAAATATGGCATATTGAACCTTAGCAATTACAACAGCAAAGTTTTGCTACTGAAAAGCTCACGGGAGCATAAGAAAAAGCCTGACTACATGTGATTCAGAGGAAATAATTATAAATATTATTGACACAAAAAATAAAAACACAGTGAGAGTCTCTCAGAACCACATGATAAAATAATCAAGAATTTAAAAGACAAGAGGAATAACAAAAAGTTAAAACTAAAAAGCCAAGGTTTTGCCATCCCTAAAAGGCAATCCAAAATACTATCTCTTTATCTGAGTATAACTTTACATGGAGTTAGGAATTTTTTTGGAATCCTTTATTGTGATCATTCATGGAATTTTTTTAAATGTGCATGCTGGCGGGCGTCTGTAATCCCAGCTACTTGGGAGGCTGAGGCAGGAGAATCGCTTGAACCCAGGAGGTGGAGGTTACAGTGAGCCAAGTTCGTGCCACTGCACTCCAGCCTGGGTGACAGGCAAAACTCTGTCTCAAAAAAAAAAAAAAGTGTGTACAATACAAGTCTTAAAAAGCAAAAGAAGGCTAGATGTGGTGGCTCATGCTTGTAATTCCAGAACTTTGGGAGGCCAAGGCGGGAGCATCACTTGAGCGCAGGAGTTCAAGACCAGCCGGGGCAACAATCTCTACACACACACACACACACACACACACACACATATATGTATACATTTAAGTTTGTGTATATGTATTAAAGCAAAGGAAACAGAATAACCCATAAAAATAGACATGAAAGAGAGAAAAGACATAGCAGAAAATGTACAAAGCATAAAATAGAATAACCAAAAGTAGAGCTGGTCTACAGTTATCACCATAAATGTTCATTTATTCAGCAGCATTTATTGAGTACCTCGTATATGCCAGGTACTGTTCCAATCACTAAGGGTACAGCAGTCTCTTTTCCTGTGGAACTTACACACTTGTCAGAAGACACTGATAATTAACAAATAAACCAAAATAGGCTGTATGTAAGATAAATGCTACACAGGAAAAAAAAAAAAAGCAAGATAGGTGAATGGGAAGTGCCAGGTGAAGTGTGTGTTGCGTTGTGTGGTGTAGCATGTATTGTGGTCTGGGTGAGCGGCCTTGAAGCAGATGAGGGAATGAGCAGATATCCGAGGTAATCTACATTTCTCCATTAAAGACAGAGTCTTATTTTGGATTTTAAAATCTTGAAATATATTGCCAGGAGTGAAAAACTTAAAGCTAAAGTGGAGAGAAAAAAATATAAATAAAGATTTGAACAAGTATGTGAAACACACTGGGAGAGAAAGCAGAGGCAGTAATGTTCATATTCACACAGAGCAGGAATTTTAGGCTGAAAGTATTCAATAAACAAAGTTCTTTCTGTGATAAAATATAAATAGTACAAATATATCATATTGAGTCAATGCTCTAAAAGAATACAAGATATGTAAATATACAAAAATGAACTATAAGGAACATGAGAAGGAATCAACTGAAGTGCCAAAGTAGAATACATTTGAAATTGACAGTGTTAAATCTTTAATACATGAAGATCAAGATAAGACTATAAGGGAACATTCCATGTAGAGGAATTAAGATGTTGTGTTGAAATATAGGGCACATGTAGTATACTATAGCTAAATTTCCTAGGGATGACTTATTGATGATAAGACCAAGCAGGTAAACTGAACCCAGTTTTCCATTTGAGTCAAGCTAAAGAATTTCATCATGCCATTAAAAGATTATTAACATAATCATATTTGTATTTTAGAAAGATCATATGGGGAATATACTGGAAAATGTAAGATTTTTGGCCAAGTGATATGTTGATAAGAGGCTATTTTAAAAGCTGAAATGTGATGATGAGGGTCTGGATTAGAAAAGTGGCCACAAGTATGAAGAAAACAGTGGCAAATTATGAATGAAACCAGTGGGAGTTTGTGAAGGATTGGCTGTGAAATAGGAGGAAGTGTGTATAGTCAAGAGTTACACATAGGGCAACTGGATGAGTAATGATATGATGAACATCATCCGTAGAACACAGTATCCAAGGGACTTCCATTTCCAATTGTGGCTTCAGTTTGCTGCTGAGAATAATTTAACAAAATACTTAGATAAATTATTTTTTAAATTGATAACCTGAAAAGCTAATAGAAACAACCAGGCCAAACTCTAAGGGAAAACAAAACCTTGGTGATATGGTTTGGCTGTGTCCCCAACTAAATCTCACCTTGAATTGTAGCTCCCATAATCCCCATGTGTTGTGGGAGGTACCTGGTAGGAGGTAATTTAATCATGGGGGCAGGCCTTTCCCGTGCTGTTCTGGTGATAGTGAATAAGTCTCACAAGATCTGATGGTTTTATAAAAGGAGTTCCCCTGCATAAGCTCTCTTGCCTGCTACCATGTAAGATGTGACTTTGCTCCTCATTTGCTTTCAGCCATGATTGTAAGGCCTCCCCCAGCCATGTGGAACTGTGAGTCAATTAAATCTCTTTCCTTTATAAATTACCCAGTCTCAGGTATGTCTTTATTAGCAGCATGCAAACAGGCTAATATACTTGGAGAGGTAAAGAGGGCACACAGTACCAAAGTCCTTTTGACCTGAAGAGATTTACAAATTCCTGCAAACTTAGACTTTGAATTTGGTGGACTAATGAAGAGTTATGGCCCTGAGTCTACCCAGGTAGTGAGAATATAGATGGTGTGCCCCACCATACACCAGAACCCCTGAGGGCTCTACCCTTACGATAAAGATTAATCAGAGGTAAATCCATACACACTCACACATATCCCCAAGGAATACAACAAAGTCGTCTTGTTAAGTGAGTAGGAAAAGAAAAAGAGAGAAAAAAACCTGTCTGAGAGGTTATGGCCATTGGAAGGCCCCTGTGAGATTTGCAGCCCTGATTTGCATTGTCTGGGATTACAGGTGCCCACCACCACACCCAGCTAATTTTTGTATTTTTAGTAGAGATGAGGTTTCACCATGTTGGCCAGGCTGGTGTCCACCTCCTGACCTTAGGTGATCTGCCCGCCTCAGCCTCCCAAAGTGTTGGGATTGCAGGCATGAGCCACTGCTCCCAGCCATTCATGATTTTTTAAACAAACATTTATTAAAGCATGAATAGAATGTAACTTCTTGATTAAGAGTATCTAGGGGGGAAAGAAGCTATAGCAAATATCCAATCATATTTTCTAATAACACACCAAAAGCTTTTGCTATGTCATCTACCACTGCCTCTATTCATCATTGTATTGGAGGGCTGAATTAGTCTAGACAGGCAAGAACAATATATTAAAAGTGTGAGATTGGAGAGGAAGGAGCCCAGCTATTCCTGTAACAGATTATCTAATTGTGGAGATAGACAACCTCAGGCTCGTGTAGCTGAAGCAGAGTAAGCATTGCAGAAAGTCATAGGAGATAAGGTCAGAGAGGGACTGGAATTCATACCACGGTGGCCCTTGGAGGGCATTGCAAGGATTTTGACTCTTACTGAGAGAGAGGTTGAAGCCATGGAGAGTTTTGATGAGGAGAGTGGATGAAGTGACTTAACATTTTGAAAGTGTTACTTTGGATGCTTTTTTGAGAACAGACTGAAGGGAGCTATGGGCAGAATCACAGAGACCAATTCGGAGGCACAAGAGAGATGACAGTGGCTTGTACAGGGTGATAGTGGTGACAGAGGTGAGAAGTGGATGGAGTCTACATATATCATGAGGCTAGAGTCAATAGGATTTCTGATGGATTCGATGCAGGGTATGAGAGAGAGGAATTAAGAATGACATTGAGGGGAGGAGCCAAGATGGCCGAATAGGAACAGCTCCGGTCTACAGCTCCCAGCGTGAGCGACACAGAAGACGGGTGATTTCTGCATTTCCATCTGAGGTACCGGGTTCATCTCACTAGGGAGTGCCAGACAGTGGGCGCAGGCCAGTTGGTGCGCGCACCGTGCGCGAGCCGAAGTAGGGCGAGGCATTGCCTCACCTGGGAAGCGCAAGGGGTCAGGGAGTTCCCTTTCCGAGTCAAAGAAAGGGGTGACGGACGCACCTGGAAAATCGGGTCACTCCCACCCGAATATTGCGCTTTTCAGACCGGCTTAAAAAATGGCGCACCACGAGACTATATCCCACACCTGGCTCGGAGGGTCCTACGCCCACGGAATCTCGCTGATGGCTAGCACAGCAGTCTGAGATCAAACTGCAAGGCAGCAGCGAGGCTGGGGGAGGGGCGCCCACCATTGCCCAGGCTTGCTTAGGTAAACAAAGCAGCCGGGAAGCTCGAACTGGGTGGAGCCCACCACAGCTCAAGGAGGTCTGCCTGCCTCTGTAGGCTCCACCTCTGGGGGCAGGGCACAGACAAACAAAAAGACAGCAGTAACCTCTGCAGACTTAAATGTCCCTGTCTGACAGCTTTGAAGAGAGCAGTGGTTCTCCCAGCACGCAGCTGGAGATCTGAGAACCGGCAGACTGCCTCCTCAAGTGGGTCCCTGACCCCTGACCCCCGAGCAGCCTAACTGGGAGGCACCCCCCAGCAGGGGCACACTGACACCTCACACGGCAGGGTATTCCAACAGACCTGCAGCTGAGGGTCCTGTCTGTTAGAAGGAAAACTAACAAACAGAAAGGACATCCACACCAAAAACCCATCTGTACATCACCATCATCAAAGACCAAAAGTAGATAAAACCACAAAGATGGGGAAAAAACAGAACAGAAAAACTGGAAACTCTAAAACGCAGAGCATCTCTCCTCCTCCAAAGGAACGCAGTTCCTCACCAGCAACGGAACAAAGCTGGATGGAGAATGACTTTGACGAGCTGAGAGAAGGCTTCAGACGATCAAATTACTCTGAGCTACGGGAGGACATTCAAACCAAAGGCAAAGAAGTTGACAACTTTGAAAAAAATTTAGAAGAATGTATAACTAGAATAACCAATACAGAGAAGTGCTTAAAGGAGCTGATGGAGCTGAAAACCAAGGCTCGAGAACTACGTGAAGAATGCAGAAGCCTCAGGAGCTGATGCGATCAACTGGAAGAAAGGGTATCAGCAATGGAAGATGAAATGAATGAAATGAAGCGAGAAGGGAAGTTTAGAGAAAAAAGAATAAAAAGAAATGAGCAAAGCCTCCAAGAAATATGGGACTATGTGAAAAGACCAAATCTACGTCTGATTGGTGTACCTGAAAGTGATGGGGAGAATGGAACCAAGTTGGAAAACACTCTGCAGGATATTATCCAGGAGAACTTCCCCAATCTAGCAAGGCAGGCCAACATTCAGATTCAGGAAATACAGAGAATGCCACAAAGATACTCCTCGAGAAGAGCAACCCTAAGACACATAATTGTCAGATTCACCAAAGTTGAAATGAAGGAAAAAATGTTAAGGGCAGCCAGAGAGAAAGGTCGGGTTACCCTCAAAGGGAAGCCCATCAGACTAACAGCGGATCTCTCAGCAGAAACCCTACAAGCCAGAAGAGAGTGGGGGCCAATATTCAACATTCTTAAAGAAAAGAATTTTCAACCCAGAATTTCATATCCAGCCAAACTAAGTTTCATAAGTGAAGGAGAAATAAAATACTTTACAGACAAGCAAATGCTGAGAGATTTTGTCATCACCAGGCCTGCCCTACAAGAGCTCCTGAAGGAAGCGCTAAACATGGAAAGGAACAACCGGTACCAGCCGCTGCAAAATCATGCCAAAATGTAAAGACCATCGAGACTAGGAAGAAACTGCATCAACTAATGAGCAAAATCACCAGCTAACATCATAATAACAGGATCAAATTCACACATAACAATATTAACTTTAAATGTAAATGGACTAAATTCTCCAATTAAAAGACACAGACTGGCAAATTGGATAAAGAGTCAAGACCCATCAGTGTGCTGTATTCAGGAAACCCATCTCACGTGCAGAGACACACATAGGCTCAAAATAAAAAGATGGAGGAAGATCTACCAAGCAAATGGAAAACAAAAAAAGGCAAGGGTTGCAATCCTAGTCTCTGATAAAACAGACTTTAAACCAACAAGGATCAAAAGAGACAAAGAAGGCCATTACATAATGGTAAAGGGATCAATTCAACAAGAAGAGCTAATTATCCTAAATATATATGCACCCAATACAGGAGCACCCAGATTCATAAAGCAAGTCCTGAGTGACCTACAAAGAGACTTAGACTCCCACACATTAATAATGGGAGACTTTAACACCCCACCGTCAACATTAGACAGATCAACGAGACAGAAAGTCAACAAGGATACCCAGGAATTGAACTCAGCTCTGCACCAAGCGGACCTAATAGACATCTACAGAACTCTCCACCCCAAATCAACAGAATATACATTTTTTTCAGCACCACACCACACCTATTCCAAAATTGACCACATAGTTGGAAGTAAAGCTCTCCTCAGCAAATGTAAAAGAACAGAAATTATAACAAACTATCTCTCAGACCACAGTGCAATCAAACTAGAACTCAGGATTAAGAATCTCACTCAAAGCCGCTCAACTACATGGAAACTGAACAACCTGCTCCTGAATGACTACTGGATACATAACGAAATGAAGGCAGAAATAAAGATGTTCTTTGAAACCAACGAGAACAAAGACACAACATACCAGAATCTCTGGGACGCATTCAAGGCAGTGTGTAGAGGGAAATTTATAGCACTAAATGCCCACAAGAGAAAGCAGGAAAGATCCAAAATTGACACCCTAACATCACAATTAAAAGAACTAGAAAAGCAAGAGCAAACACATTCAAAAGCTAGCAGAAGGCAAGAAATAACTAAAATCAGAGCAGAACTGAAGGAAATAGAGACACAAAAAACCCTTCAAAAAATCAATGAATCCAGGAGCTGGTTTTTTGAAAGGATCAACAAAATTGATAGACCGCTAGCAAGACTAATAAAGAAAAAAAGAGAGAAGAATCAAATAGACACAATAAAAAATGATAAAGGGGATATCACCACCGATCCCACAGAAATACAAACTACCATCAGAGAATACTACAAACACCTCTATGCAAATAAACTAGAAAATCTAGAAGAAATGGATAAATTCCTCGACACATACACTCTCCCAAGACTAAACCAGGAAGAAGTTGAATCTCTGAATAGACCAATAACAGGAGCTGAAATTGTGGCAATAATCAGTAGTTTACCAACCAAAAAGAGTCCAGGACCAGATGGATCCACAGCCGAATTCTACCACAGGTACAAGGAAGAACTGGTACCATTCCTTCTGAAACTATTCCAATCAATAGAAAAAGAGGGAATCCTCCCTAACTCATTTTATGAGGCCAGCATCCTTCTGATACCAAAGCCGGGCAGAGACACAACCAAAAAAGAGAATTTTAGACCAATATCCTTGATGAACATTGATGCAAAAATCCTCAATAAAATACTGGCAAACCGAATCCAGCAGCACATCAAAAAGCTTATCCACCATGATCAAGTGGGCTTCATCCCTGGGATGCAAGGCTGGTTCAATATACGCAAATCAATAAATGTAATCCAGCATATAAACAGAGCCAAAGACAAAAACCACATGATTATCTCAATAGATGCAGAAAAAGCCTTTGACAAAATTCAACAACCCTTCATGCTAAAAACTCTCAATAAATTAGGTATTGATGGGACGTATTTCAAAATAATAAGAGCTATCTATGACAAACCCACAGCCAATATCATACTGAATGGGCAAAAACTGGAAGCATTCCCTTTGAAAACTGGCACAGACAGGGGTGCCCTCTCTCACCACTCCTATTCAACATAGTGTTGGAAGTTCTGGCCAGGGCAATTAGGCAGGAGAAGGAAATAAAGGGTATTCAATTAGGAAAAGAGGAAGTCAAATTGTCCCTGTTTGCAGACGACATGATTGTATATCTAGAAAACCCCATTGTCTCAGCCCAAAATCTCCTTAAGATGATAAGCAACTTCAGCAAAGTCTCAGGATACAAAATCAATGTACAAAAATCACAAGCATTCTTATACACCAACAACAGACAAACAGAGAGCCAAATCATGAGTGAACTCCCATTCACAATTGCTTCAAAGAGAATAAAATACCTAGGAATCCAACTTACAAGGGATGTGAAGGACCTCTTCAAGGAGAACTACAAACCACTGCTCAAGGAAATAAAAGAGGATACAAACAAATGGAAGAACATTCCATGCTCATGGGTAGGAAGAATCAATATCGTGAAAATGGCCATACTGCCCAAGGTAATTTACAGATTCAATGCCATCCCCATCAAGCTACCAATGACTTTCTTCACAGAATTGGAAAAAACTACTTTAAAGTTCATATGGAACCAAAAAAGAGCCCGCATTGCCAAGTCAATCCTAAGCCAAAAGAACAAAGCTGGAGGCATCACACTACCTGACTTCAAACTATACTACAAGGCTACAGTAACCAAAACAGCATGGTACTGGTACCAAAACAGAGATATAGATCAATGGAACAGAACAGAGCCCTCAGAAATAATGCCACATACCCACAACTATCTGATCTTTGACAAACCTGAGAAAAACAAGCAATGGGGAAAGGATTCCCTATTTAATAAATGGTACTGGGGAAACTGGATCCCTTCCTTACACCTTATACAAAAATCAATTCAAGATGGATTAAAGATTTAAACGTTAGACCTAAAACCATAAAAACCCTAGAAGAAAACCTAGGCATTACCATTCAGGACATAGGCATGGGCAAGGACTTCATGTCCAAAACACCAAAAGCAATGGCAACAAAAGGCAAAATTGACAAATGGGATCTAATTAAACTAAAGAGCTTCTGCACAGCAAAAGAAACTACCATGAGAGTGAACAGGCAACCTACAAAATGGGAGAAAATTTTCACAACCTACTCATCTGACAAAGGGCTAATATCCAGAATCTACAATGAACTCAAACAAATTTACAAGAAAAAAACAAACAACCCCATCAAAAAGTGGGCGAAGGACATGAACAGACACTTCTCAAAAGAAGACATTTATGCAGCCAAAAAACACATGAAAAAATGCTCATCATCACTGGCCATCAGAGAAATGCAAATCAAAACCACTATGAGATACCATCTCACACCAGTTAGAATGGCAATCATTAAAAACAACAGGTGCTGGAGAGGATGTGGAGAAATAGGAACACTTTTACACTGTTGGTGGGACTGTAAACTAGTTCAACCATTGTGGAAGTCAGTGTGGCGATTCCTCAGGGATCTAGAACTGGAAATACCATTTGACCCAGCCATCCCATTACTGGGTATATACCCAAAGGACTATAAATCATGTTGCTATAAAGACACATGCACACGTATGTTTATTGCGGCATTATTCACAATAGCAAAGACTTGGAACCAACCCAAATGTCCAACAATGATAGACTGGATTAAGAAAATGTGGCACATATACACCATGGAATACTATGCAGCCATAAAAAATGATGAGTTCATGTCCTTTGTAGGGACATGGATGAAATTGGAAATCATCATTCTCAGTAAACTATCGCAAGAACAAAAAACCAAACACTGCATATTCTCACTCATAGGTGGGAATTGAACAATGAGATCACATGGACACAGGAAGGGGAATATCACACTCTGGGGACTGTGGTGGGGTGGGGGGAGGGGGGAGGGATAGCATTGGGAGATATACCTAATGCTAGATGACGAGTTAGTGGGTGCAGTGCACCAGCATGGCACATGTATACATATGTATCTAACCTGCACAATGTGCACATGTACCTTAAAACTTAAATAAAAAAAAAATAAAAAAATAAAAAGAATGACATTGAGGTTTTTGGGCTAAGCAACAGCAATAATGCAGCTGCCATTAATGAAGGTGAGGAAGGCTGGGGCTGGAGGAGGTTTGCGTGAGGATCAGGAGCTCAGTCTGGAATGAGTTCACTTTGAGAGGCCTAACCAACATCGAATGAAGCTGTTGGAAGGCAGTTAGCTACATAAGCCTAGACTTCAGGGAAGAGCACTAGATGGTAGACTTAAATTTGGGAATTATCCATCTAAAGATGGATTTAAAATCCTAAAACTGAATGAGATCTCCAAAGATAGTGAGAGAAGTAATCTAAAAACTGAGTCCTGGACACTCCAATGTGTAGAATGAGCTAGGAGAGCCTGAGCTAACTGGGTGGGTTTGGGTGGGATGCAGTGTGCAGAAATTAGTCTTTTTCATCCTGAGCCATGATCTTTCACTCTAGCTCCTTCCAAGGGAGGGGACCCTGTCTCAGGACCAGTGTCTGTTTGGCTAAGTGAATGCTGCGGCACCATCTGATTACTGACAGTGCCTCTCAACGTGGCGCCCTAAGGATGAGAGAACCACAGGACGCCCAGTTTGGTTCAACATATTAATCCTAGTATAATTTAATGACCAATGTCTACTGATGATTCGCCTTGCCTTCCTAAGGATTGTTTTCTTGCTGACTTTTACCTCTTCAGGAATCTGATTTGCTGGTAATAGGAAGAGAAACCACTACTAGAGAGACCTAACCGCTTTTCCTCTAGATCTCTTAATTAAACATCCCCTCTGTTTGTTTCTTCCCCTACTTCAGTGAACAGATTCTGTAGTGACATGGAGTCTGGAAAAGGCTTTCCAGGGACTTAACAAAAACTAACATGCATTTTCCTAATTCAGGAGTCTCAGGGCCCTACTTCCACCTCTTAGTTTAAATGAAGGTGTCTTTACAAGGTATGATATTAAAGTTTTTCGACTTCTGTTACATCAGTATCAAGACACTTCTCTGTATTTCCTAATAGGAATGGGAAGATACAGTGCAGTCGGAAGTGTTACTGAGAGAATTTTCACATTATACTATGATCACTTGGGATTCCTACATAAGCTGACTCTGGGTCGCTTTGAAGCTAGTGGACCACCCACAGCCTTTGGAAATTCTAGAAATCTTTTTGGACAGGTCAGTATATAATGCATTGAAACAGTTTGCCTTATTTTAAGAATAGATGCCACATTCAATACATAGAATAATGGGAAAATGGGAAAGTATTTTCCTTGGGACAAACTCATTAATGCAGTTTGCTCTATTTAACTAAAGGAAGAACCTCCATGTGCCACAAACATCTCCAAATCTTCTTCCAAGTCCCATATGGAATTATATAGCTTCAATTCCACCTAGAATATCTTCATGCAAATATCTTCGCAACAGAACACCACTAAACATTCTAAGCTAGAACCATTACTTCTAAGCTAGAACCATTACTCCCAACCCAGGCCAAGGTAGGATTGATTCTCTACCTCTTAAGGTTGTCCCTGAAGAAACATGGGTTGTGAGGCCAGGCGCCATGGCTCATGCCTGTAATCCTAGCATTGTGGGAGGCTGAGGTGGGTTGATCGCTTCAGCCCAGGAGTTGGAGACTAGCCTGGGCAACAAGGTGAAACCCCGTCTCTACCAAAGAATTAAAAAATTAGCCTGGTGTGGTGGCATTCATCTGTAGTTCCAGCTTCTTGGGAGGCTGAGGCAGGAGGATCACTTGAACCTGGGAAGTTGAGGCTGAAGTGAACTGCGATCACGCTGCTGAAGTGAGCTGTGATCGTGCCACTGAACTCCAGTTTGGGCAACAGAGCAAGACCCTGACTCAAAAAAAAAAAAAAAGGAACATGAGCTGTGGTCTACCTTTCTTCTTTCCTATTAACCCTTCTCCCTGGTTTCTTCTTTTTCTAGTGACAACAAAAAAAGGAGTTATCTTCTTTACAGATGACACTTGATACCGGTTTTTATAATAGTTTAATGTATAATATGCTGCTTGTGAAGGTAGCTCATCCTTGGGCACCAGTTACAAAACTGGACACTCTCAAACCATCAGCAAATTATCAAACATTTTTGACTGGGGTTAGTAAAACCTGCCCTTTGACTTAAAGGAAAAGGAACAAAAGATGAATCTGGTTTTAAAAGATCATTCCAATTACCAGGCCAAAGCTGCAGTTGAGAGGATGGTGTTTATCTTCCCCTCTCTGAGACATGCATAGAGAATGAGGGCAGGAACTTCCTTGGGAGAGTTAAGATGCCACATGTGACTCCCTGTGTCTTTGCCCAAGTCTGGGGTGTGAATTCCGCATTTATACAAAGCGAATGATGTGAGCAGGAGGGTAGAACTAACTAAAAAAAAGCATTTACCTCATTTTTCACCAACTTCACAATTTGTAGAAAGTTTCTTAGTTCCCTTATGTGAAAGTTTAAATTATTAAAAGAAAAAAAAACCCTACAGGTATTTGTATACTTAGGACAAGTTTGACGAAGCCATACTCAGCAATATCACTTCCCTCTCCACAAACTATGCATGCATTCTCTCTGGATAAAAATAATCGCTGGCTCTTATTACAGTGTTGGAGCTCTCAATCTTTATAACGACGATTTATTCCTATTTCACTTATGAAGAAAGCGAGGCACAGACAGGCTGGTTAGTTATTGGGATTAGACATCTATCCCAGGCAACTGGCTCCGGGGCCTGTGCTCTTAGCCACCTGCTGCCTTTCATTGGACTTGCATACACTTTCCCTAGGATACACTTGCCACTCCCAGGCTACAGTGTCATACAGAATTCTAAAGATGTTTAGCCATTTCAGTGATTTTCAAGAGTCCTCAAGCCATTTGGCTCAATCCCACATTGATTTTCCTGGCATCTATTTCCCATTTCTCCTCAGTGCACTCCCAAAATTCAGTAACTAGGAAAAAAAGCATGACAGAAGATGAGTCTTGGAGGCACTATGGGACAGATGTGTCCCCAACCAGTCTGCACGATCTACCACCCACACCTTGTCTCATAGCAACAAAGTCAACTCCAGCAGCCCCTTTGGGGATGGTCCCTACCTCTCTTCTCTCCCCTAAAAGTTCCCCAAGCAGGACAGGGTCAGGATTAGAGAAAGGTGTGTTGAAAAGAAAGACCTATAGATCAGAAATCTAGGCCAGAAGTGCCTGGGTAGACTGCAAGGGGAGGTCTGTGAGTCAGGAAAGGAGAACAGCTTATGCTGCCAGTTGGGAGACTCAGACAGCAGCTGTCCAGAGTCTCTAGCACGAGATCAGGAGCAGCAAGTGAGGACAGGGATTTCACGGGCCCTTTCCTAAATAAAACTTCAAATAAGAACCCAGTTCTAAAATCTGCATCTCCAGGCTCCTCACACACCCACAATGTGAGTCAAGTTTCCATGTACCCTTTCACTCCAACCATCCACGAAGGGCATAGGAATCTTACACCACATCTTAGTCATCAGAACTTCCATTCCTCCTTAACAGGAAAATACATCTTCCCTTGCACACACATGGATGTTCCAACAGAACAGTTGACTTATTTCTCCAATTGATAAGTAAACCAGTATTGTTTTAATGTGAACTGGAAATAAATCTGTGACTTCAATTTTGTCATAATTGAAGTATAAAGTAGTTTAAATATAATATTTTCTTTTCTCTGTTTCCAGCCTCCAGATATGGGCTTTGAGACTGCGCTTGCCCCACAGCACACCTCCTTAGATGAAATTATCTTTTTTGCATATGTACCTGAGAACGAACCCCAGGAAACGATCTACAGCAAGAAGTTCGGCAATATACACTATGGAAAAGTGATACACTCTGGGTAGTGATATGCATTTATTTAGATGGCATATTGGTTTCTAGAATCTACTTTTTAAATTTTTTGAGATAGGGTCTTGCTCTGTCATCCAGGCTGGAGTGCAGTAGTGCGATGACAGCTCACTGCAGCCTCAATCTCCCAGGCTCAAGCAATGCTCTGGCCCCAGCCTCCAGAATAGCTGGGACTGCAGGCACACACCACCAAGCCCGGCTAAGTTTTGTATTTTTTGTAGAGATGGGGTTTCACCATATTGCCCAGGCTGGTCTCAAACCCCTGAGCTCAAGGGATTCACCCACCTCAGCTTCCCAAACTGCTGAGGTTACAAGTGTGAGCCACTGCAGCTGGCCAATAGAATCTAAATTTTTGGGCCTACTTTTTTGAATAATTTTCTTGGTCAAATAGAGTAAGTATTTTTTTGACACCCCGCAAGGCCAAATACATTTATAAACTCCTAGATGTCTTGCATGCTGCCCCAATTTTAGAAACCTAGGACCATTTATATCAGTGCCATCAGGCCAAGCTATAGAAATGTGTTTCGTGAGTATCAAAAATATTCTGGACAACACTGGATACTTCCTATCCACTGAGTTTACTCAAATGACAATTCTTGTATATCCTAGAGACCAACACATTTAATGTAGTGGAGGCTATCTTTTATGAAATATTGCATTGAACAATATACAGAATTCTCAGAAATGCTTACAGTAAGAGTCAATAACCCTTAAAGCTACCTTTAAGGCCTAATAACTCTTATTCAGAATATGAATTCTGGCTGGGTGCCATGGCTCACACCTGTAATCCCAGAACTTTGGGAGGCCAAGGCCAGCAGATCAGTTGAGACCAGGAGTTGGAGACCAGTCTGACCAACATGGTGAAACTCCATCTCTACTAAAAATAAAAAAAATTAGCCAGGTGTGGTGGCTCACATCTGTAATCCCAGCTACTGGGAAGACCGAGGCACAATAGTTGCGTGAACCCAGGAGGCCGAGGTTGCAGCGAGCCAAGATTGTGCCATTGCCATTGCACTCCAGCCTGAGTGAGAGAGTGAGACTCTGTCTCAAAAAAAAAAGAATATGAATTATATAACCCCCAAATCTACCAACTAAAAAAGAAACAATTTCAACAATTTCAGATTACCAGAAACTCACTGCTGTGGTCTAAATATCTGTTTTCCCCAAAAATTCATATGTGGAAATCCTAACCCTCAAGGTGGTAGTATTAGGAGGTGGGGCCCTTGGTAGGTGACTAGGTCATGAGGACTCTGCCCTCATGAATGGAATTAGTGTCCTTATGAAAGAGACCCCAGAGAGCTAGCTAGGCCCTTCCACCACGAAGGACTGAAGGACAGAGCCAGCTAGGCCCTTCCACCATGGAAGGACACACGTAGAAGACACCATCTATAAACCAGAAAGTGGACCCTCACCAGATACCAAATCTGCTGGCACCTTGATCTCAGACTTTCCAGCCTCTAGAGCTGTGAGAAATAAATTTCTGCTGTTTATAGGCTACCTGGTTTATGGTATTTTGTTATGGCAGCCCAGATAGACTAAGATATTAACCTTGTCTCCAAGTGGTGGACTCTATTCTTATACCAGGTTGGAATCTGTATATTATATGTGTTTGGGGCTGTCAATACATATCTTGTCCCACAGCTAACAATACCTTGCACCGTGAGGCAGCTCACTCAGAAGCAGAGGTGAACATGGGAATCAGACCTAATATAACAAACATCAGCAATATTTTTTCTCATGAGGATTGTACAAATTTTGTCTCTGACAAAAGTGTCAGTAATCTCTAGAATTATTTTTTGCTCTAGGTGGATCTTTTATGTGTGATGTTCCAGATCAGCTAGTTTGTGTTTATGTAGGTGTTTTTCTATAGAAAACCTACAGAATCACTTTTCAATCTTTTAATATTAATATGAGTAATATTATACCAGTGTTTATCTTAATTTCTTATATTCTAATTATTTTTAAAAGCATATGGTCATTCTCTTAAGGATTAGAATATTTAAAAACCAGAACAGCACAATCTGTGATAAGATTCAATAACTTTGCTCTGTTTGCACAGAAACTAGGGAATGGGTAGCTTCAAGGCAGGAAATACGAGCAAAACCAGGGTCAGAGACCTGGAGAGCAAGTGGTACTTCAACTGGGCAGGTGAGGAATTTGGGATCCCAGTGTTCTCAGGTCGGCAGGAGGCCAAAGGCAGTTATCCAGGTAGTCAGGGCATAAGGCAGAGAGAGCCATTCACTTACTCCACCAATCATCATTTAACACTGACTACCAGCAAGGCACTGTGGCGGGTGCTGCAACAGAGTGGTGAGCATGACATTCAAGCACCTCATTCTGTGAGCTTATATTCTAGCCCCAGAAGCAGACAAGTATGTAATTACAGTTGACTAAGTCTATAAAAGGGGAGTATACAGCATCGAAAGAGTATTTTCCTGGGGCTTGAGCCCTTGTTTGGAGAATCCTAGATTCTCCTGGAATAACACCCAAGTTCCTTACTGGAACTCAAAAAGCCCCACTGACCTGGTTCCACTCTCTTGAGTGACCTCTTTGCTTTGTTCACTGCGGTGAAGTCACTCTGGTTTTCCTTTGGTTTCTGTAACACGTCCTGCTCCTTTTGGCCTGGAGGCCTTTGAGCATGCTGTTCCTCTCAGCCTGGAACCTTCCCCCAACCGCCACTCTCTTCCTTCATGCTTGTTCTTCTGGTCTTTTCTTAAGCCTCAGAGTTTGGGTGAAAGAAGAGAGGTGAGGTAAAGGGACAAGAAGTCCTCCTGTTGGAGACTTCCAGAGTCTTTGGTTATGGGCAATGCTACCCTTGCCACTAGTGAAAACTACCCCTGCCCTGCCGGCCCCTGGAATTCTATCACTGTGTTGGGGTCCCTTCATCCTTTCAGCAGTCCTTCTGGGCAGCATATTTTTTCTCTCCTGCCTCCCCTCCACCCCCGCCATGACCCTTGTCCCCCAGAGATAAGCACTGTCTTGGATTTTATGTTAACATATTTTAAAGTTTTGCTTTAGAGCTTTAACACTAGTTTTATGAAATGTATGACTTGCCTTTTTCATATAACATTATACTTTTGAAATTACTCCATATTGATATATAGGCTGGAATTCACTCACATGAATATGCTACAAGTTATGTAGCTATTCTCCTATATTGTTTTGGAATCATGTCAAACTTTTCCCTCCTTCCTTCCTTCCTTCCTTCCTTCCTTCCTTCCCTCCCTCCCTCCCTCCTTCCTTCCTTCCTTTCTTTCTTTCTCTTTCCTTCTTTCGACAGGGTCTTCCTCTGTCACCCATGCTGGAGTGCAGTGGTGCAATAATGACTCACTGCGGCTTTGAACTTCCTGGCTCAAGTGGTCCTCCCACCTCAGCCTCCTGAGTATCTGGGACTACAGGCACACACGTGCCGCCATGCCCAGCTAGTTTCTTTTTTTGCGGGGGTGGGAGTTGCTTTTTTGTTTTTTTTTGTAGAGATGGGTTTTTGCCATGTTGCCCAGGCTGGCCTTGAACTCCTGGGCTCAAGTCATCTGCCCACCTTGGCTGTCCAAAGTGCTAGGATTACAGGTGTGAGCGACCCCGCCCGGCTTTTCAATTTTACCTATGTAGAATTGATGTGCCTAGTGTGAAGTGGGAATCCAGTTTTTCTTTTTTTTTTTTTTTTTTAATATGGGTAATCTATTGTCCATACAAGCCCCTCCTTTCCCCAACTGATCTGCAGCACTGCCCTGTGATATATCCTGGTCCCGTATATGCATTTGTCTGCTCCTGTCCTCTCTCCTATTTCACTGGTGTATTTGTCTTCTCCGTGACACACTGACTAAATGACTCTAATTATGAAACACATGTGAATAACCCCCTCCCCGTGCCCTTTCTTGGCATTTGGTCTTCCATTTATATGTTAGACTCAGCTTGTCAAGTTCCATTAAGGAAAATAAAAACCCCAAAACCTGGTAATAGAAATTACCTCTTGCAACCAAACTCTGCCTTATATCACTGTTAGATAGATCTTGGGTGGGAATTTCGTGCTCTTCCCCTAGCAGTAAGATAATTATCTTTCTGCTAACAATTATTAGCAGAAAAGAACTAATAATTATTAGTTCTTTTAGAATTTTAGGACCAAGACAGCTTCCTGATTCATCTTAAGGGATAGAAGTTATTATTTCATCCTTCCCTCCTCTGTTACATGTCTTTCCCTGGGCCCTGTGGGTGAGTGTACCTTTACTTCTTCTCTGACAGTAGGTAAAAGCGTTTGCTTTATAAGGGAAAAGGGTGAGGGAGGGAGGCAGGACTTCCATGCCAGCACCCTCCTGATGCCCCCTAACCCTCAGCCACTGATCAGCTCTTTTGAGGCCTGTGTGCAAAAGCATCTAATGCCCAACCTCCTGTGGTTTAAGGCTTTTACTTCCTATGAGAGAAGGTTCAGGGAAGTAGGTGATGCTTCAGGCCTGTTTCCTCCCAACCTCTGATCCCCACAAACTACCTGCACCACCAATGGTGGCTGTCTCTGGTCTATGGCCCTTCCCCAGTCTTTGCCACGAGCCTTCAATGGAAGCCAGTGGAGTTTGCAAGTGAGTGCAGACTCCCATTTGTCAGGCGCCCAAGTACTTCCAGACTCACATGCTAGCACATACCTGGCCTTTGGCCCTTTTTAACAACTTCAGCTAACTCTTACTTGCTTGTGTTGTGGTCAGCACTGTTTCTCCTTCCCATGTTCTTCCATAGGTGACGCTGTCCTAGTGTTCAATCTCTCCTTGGAATGGCTTATTGCTCTGGATTTCAGCTTAGTTGGTTATCTAGTGACCTTAGTTCTCTGACAAACTAGAGAAAAGTCATGACTTTGTACTTTATCTACTTTTTGTTTTGTTTTCTTGTTTGAGTGCATCTTTCTGCATTTAAAGCAAAAGCAGAAGTCTTATGATTGCCTTTTGTAGAGTAATCTTATATTTTTCAAATTTGCTAAATTCTTTTAATTCTAGTACTTTTTCTACATATTATCTTGGGTTTTGGAGTAGAGGTAAATTTTTAATTTTTTTTTTAAGTTTCAATAGCTTTAAGGGTACAAGTGAATTTTGGTTACATGGGTGAATTGTGTAGTGGTGAAGTCTGGATTTTTGGTGTACCTATCACCCAAGTAGTGTACATTGTACCCAATAGGCAGTTTTTCCTCTCTCACCCCTCCCACCCTCCCTTCTTCTGAGCCTCCAATATCTACAGGCCACTCTGTATGCCTTTGCATACCCATAGCTTAGCTCCTACTTTTAAGTGAGAACATGCAGTGTTTGGTTTTTCTGTTCCTAAGTCACTTCACTGAGGGTAATGGCCTTCAGTTCCATCCAAGTTGCTGCAAAAGACATTGTTTCATTGTTTTGTATGGCTGAGTAGTATTCCATGGTGTGTGTGTGTGTATGTATATATATATATATCACATTTTTTAAATCCACTCATCAGTTTATGGCACTTGGGTTGATTCCATATCTTTGCAAATGTGAATTATGCTACAATAAGCATATGTATTCAGATGTCTTGTTTTATATAATGACTTCTTTTCCTTTGGGTAGATAACCAGTAGTGGGATTGCTGGATCTAATGGTAAATCTCTTTTTAGTTCTTTGAGAAATTTCCATACTGTATAAATATTTTTAAGTAGATAATCTTATTACCTGCCAGTACAATTGATCCTTGAACAACATGGGTTTGAACTGTGCAGGTCCACTTATACATGGAAATTTTTCTGCCTCTGCCACCCCTGAGTCAGTAAGGCCTCCTCAGCCTAATCAAGAAGATGACTAGGATGAAGATCTTTATGATGATCCATTCCACTTAAGAAATAATAAATATATTTTCCCTTTCTTACGATTTTCTTAATAACATTTTTTCCCGTAGCTTACTTTATTGTAAGAATACAGCATGTAAGACATATAACATACAAAATATGTGTTAATCAACTGTTTATGTTATTGGTAAGACTTCCAGTCAACAATAGCCTACTTGTAGTTAAATTTGGGGGGAATTAAAAGTAATATGTGAATTTTCATCTGCACAGGAGGTTGGCATCCCTAACCTCTGCATTGTTCAAGGGTCAACTATAATTTTTTTTGTTTTTTCCTTAATGTTTCTTAGCATATTATAGCTTTTTCCTGTTATAGTGTCTAGGACCTCCAATACTTTGTTAAATAGAAGATAATGGAATTATTGTTGTTCCTGACACTCTCTCTCTCTTTTTCTTTTTCTCTCTCTCTCTCTCTATATATATATTTAAGCATTTCATAGTTTTCTTAAACCCTTTATCATTTAAATAAATTTATCTATTTTTCTAGTTTAAGAGATTTAGAGTTTGGGTTTTAAATTAATATTTCTCGTGTATCTATTGAGCTTATCTATAGAATTTTTTCCTTTAACTTTTTATTTAACGTTGTAAATTATATTGTGGATTTAATGTTGAACCAACCTTAAAGTCCTGGAATATACCTATCTTTGACATTGTATATTACCTGTTTTCATACATTTCTGGACTCGGTTTGCTAATATTTAAGATTTAAACATCTATGTTCATGTAGGAAGTTTACCTGTAATTTTTCTTTCTCATATTGCCCTTCTGTGGTTCTGTTAACAAGATTGTACTAGCCTCATAGACAATTGTTTTCTTTTTTTTTTAATTTTCTGGAAGAGTTTAAGACTGGAATATTTTGTTCCTTGAAAGTTTGTTTTTTGAAATTGTTTGAAACTTACTTTATGGCCTAGGACTAGGCCATTCATTATGGTCAATTTCAGTAAATATTTTGTATGGGAGGCAAAATTTTACATTTATCCTCTTAGGGTGTTTTGGCTGGGCCTGAGAATTAAACTGACATAAGACAGATTAACAGGAGAAAAGCATACACATTTACTTAATGTAAGTTTTGTGTAACATAGGAGTCCTCCTGAAGAAATGAAGACCCCTGAAGAAGCAGTTAGAGTTGAACATGTATATACTGGGTTGAACAAAAAGTAGTAAGTTGTGAAAATGTGACAAGGCAAGGGGGCTTGGGCTAGGGTAGTTAACTGTGGAGAAGTGGCTAGGAAGATAAGGGTTAGTTTAACAAGGTCTGTTTGTACAAATTTCTCTTGGCTTTGGCTCCCCATCTCTAGTAATAAAAACAATGTCCTTCTCCAGGTGCAAGGAGGACACCTTCCACATGGGAGTTTTATCTCCTGCCTTTAGGTAGGTCACAGTGTCCTTTCTGCATTTGCTGGTGTGTATGTGTGTGTGTGTGTGTGTGTTTTAAGTGACTTTAACTCAATCAGTGGGCTAGAGCAGATATTTTGGGGTGTTCTGAATGCTTTCCTATTTAATGCAGTATTAATATTTATTTGTTAGATTAATCCTGTTCCTTGTGATATTGCAATTTTCTGTATCCTTAATGATTTGTTTCTGCTTGATCTATCAATTATTGAGAAAGCTGTATTAAACTTTCCTACTGTGTATACTGGATTTGTCCATTTTAAAATTATAGTTGTGTCAATTTTGCCTTGTATATTTTGAGATTGTTATTAGGTACATATAAGTTTAGAATTGTTACATCTTCATGATCAGTTGAACATTTTGTTGGTATTTAGTGACTATTTTTATCATTATAATGCTTTTTTGCATGACCGTGGCTTTTTTATTATGCTTTTTTTAACCATTTTAAGATGTACCATTCTGTAGCATTAAATTCATTCAAATCCTTTGCCCATTTTTAAATCAGGGGTTTTTTGTTATGAGTTTCAATGTTTTGTTTTTGTTTGTAGCTTTTTTTGTTATTGATACATGGCATCAGCCTTCTTTGGATAATATTTTCGTGGTATACTATTTCAATCCTTTAACTTTCACCTGCTTTGTATATCTGTCATAAAAGACATAAATGAATTTTGTGGTTTTAGCCAATTTAACAATTTCTGTCCTTTAGTTGGAGCGTTTAGTTCAACTACATTTATTATTTTTACTAATATATTTGTCTTCATTCCTACCATCTTCTTTTGTACTTTCTATTTGTCCCACCTTTTTCTATGTTTCATTTTTGTCTTCTCTTCTTGCTTACCTTATTTTAAGGTTCTTTTTTCTCCTCTTTCCATTCTTTTCTTCTTCTACTTGATTGGGACTTTTACACCCTGTTTTATTTTGCTTTTTCATGTTATCCAAGATTTTTACTGTGTGTTAACTTAAAAAGTCTAAAGTTACTTAATAACTTTATCTCTTTCCCATTCCATATGTAATCATTAAACTCTGGGTGTCTAGTCAGTATCTACCCTTTATATTTCTCAAGAATGAGTCCAATTCTGGTCCCTCGGTTCCTCAAACCTCAGAAGAAATATTACAGTTTCTGAAGTGGTCCCCTTGAAGAAATCCCTCTTGGCCTTTTTATTATTATTATTATTTTTGTTTGTTTTTTGAGATGGAGTTTTGTTCTTGTTGCCCAGGCTGGAGTCCAATGGCGCGATCTCAGCTCACTGCAACCTCCGCCTCCTGGGTTCAAGCGATTCTCCTGCCTCAGCTTCCCAAGTAGCTGGGATTACAGACGCCCACCACCACGCCTGACTAATTTTTTGTATATTTAGTAGAGACGGGGTTTCACCATGTTGACCAGGCTGGTCTTGAACTTCTGACCTCAGGTGATCCACCCGCCTCGGCCTCCCAAAGTGCTGGGATTACAGGCATGAGCCATTGCACCCGGCCCTGAATCTTCACAAAATCTTAATAGTGATAACTTAATGTCCATGTTTTTACTAAATTGCTCAGAAGGAATGTATCATCAACACACAAAGGTTTCAGTAAAGCTCTTCATTCATTCAATGAATATTTGAGTGCCTATTACATATCAAGTCTTGTGCTAGGCACTGGGAATATAGTGGTAAACAAGATAGACAAGACTCTTCCCTGCATGGAGATGACATTCTAATAAACAGATACAGGTGATAAACAGGTAAACCAAAACAAATTCATATCTAACATGTGCTTTGAAGAAAGTAAATATGGTGACAGAGGGAGTGAGAAGGGTAAGCAAAGACCCAAGAATGAAGAGCAAAGAGCCAATGAAAGAGCTTTCCAGGCTAAAGAAGTTGCATACAGTGAGGCAAGAAAAATTGGGATGTGTTTAATAAACATGAAGAAAGCCAGTATAGATGATGCACAGTGATGGTGTCGTGGAAAGGCCAGCAAGGAGGTCAGCTAGTGCCAGATCATAGACGGTATTATAGGATGCAGGAAGAGTGTAAATTTTCTTCTTGGTGTCAGCAGAAACCATTGGAGAATGTTATTGGATTATTTTTAAATAATCCAATTTACATTTTTGAAAGGATCACTCTGATTGCTGTGAAAAGTGTGGGACAGGGTGTGAGTAGAAGCTGCCAAGCCCCTTAGAAAGTTATTAAAGTAATACAGGTGACAGATTATGGTGCTGGAGCAGGTGCAGTTGAGTGAAGACAGGATCTGATGATGCATTTGCCTGTTAGGGATATGAGCAAGAAAGTGATCAAAAATTGTCTAGGTTTGTGGTTTGTAGCTAGAAGGACGCTACCGCCATTTTCCGAGACGAAAAGTGCAGGTATCAGGCAGGGTAATTCAGAGTTCCACATTGGAAATGTTCAGTTTGAAATGTGTGCTAGGTATCTAAGTGAAGATGTGAAGTTGGCAGTTAGATGTATGAATTCATAGCTCAGAAAAGTCAGAGTGGAAACTTGGCATTTGGCAATTGTTCAGATACAGATGGGTGATTCTACCTGCAGAGGAGGATGTATGTAGAGAAGAAAAGCCCTGGGGTGCTCCAGGAAGAGAGCCCGGGCTAAGAAGAAGGCCCTAGCAAAGAAGGATGAGAAGGAGCAGCCAGTAAGGTAGAAAAAACACAGGAAAATGTGGGGCCATATAAACCAAGAGAAGAGGGTGTTTAGAAAGTATGGAGTGATCAACTGTGATGCATGCTGCAGAGACTTGAGTAAAATAAGAATAAAGATGTGACCTTTGAATTTGGCACCATTCTAGGCTGTAGTAACCTTGATGAAAACAGTTTCATTGGCATGGAGTGGAAGGGATCAGCTGGGCTGGGGAAATGGCACAGGCATTGGAATGGGAGCTTAGAATGCATAGGTAGCTTAGTTTGATGATATTTGTCTTTTTGCAGTGTTTTCTCCACTCAACAGTTGTTCCTCTCCACCTCTAAAATTCACTGATTCATTCTCCATTGCACAAATCCCCTTTCCTTCTCTTTTAAAGGCTGATTTCTCTCCTCTTCTGGAACAGCAGCGCTTAATCACCCCCCATGTGCAATAGTAGGAAGAAGTGGGGAGACAGCTTTCATAATTAAGGTAGCTGCCTGACCATTGGCCATTGACTTCAGATACAAAGAGGTTAACTTTTTAAAATTAATTAATAAACTTTTTAAATTAATTACAGTTTTACAGCAAAATTGAGCAGAAAATAGAGTTCCTATATACCTCTGTCCCATACACACACGAAACCTTCCCCACTATCCACATCCCACACCAAAGTGGTACATTTGTTACAGCTCATGAACCTACATTGACACATCATTTATCACCCAGCGTACGTATCTACATTAGGACTTACTCTTAGTGTTGCAAATTCAATGGGTTTGAACAAATGTATAATGATAAGTATTCATCATCACAATATCATACAGAAGAGTTTCACTGCCCTAAAAATTCTCTATGCTTTGCCTCTTCAACTCTCTCTTCCCCTCACCCCTGGCAACCACCGATCTTTTTGCTGTCTCCATAATTTTGCCTTTTCCAGAATGTCATATAGTTTGAATCATACCGTATATAGCCTTTTCAGAGGCTTCTTGTACTTAGTAATATGCATCTAAATTTCCTCCATGTCTTTTCATGGCTTGATAGCTCATTTCTTTTTTAGTGCTGAATCATATAATATTCCATCATCTGAGTATCCCGCAGTTTATTTATTCATTTACCTACTGAAGAACATCTTGGTTGCTTCCAAGTTTTAGCAATTATAAATAAAGCTTCTGTAAACACCTATTTGCAGGTTTTGTATAGATATAAGTTTTCGACTCATTTGGGTAAATACCAAGGCATTTTGCTTGATTGTATGCTAAGAGTATGTTTAGTTTTGTAAAAAATGACTGAACTGTCCTCCAGACTGGCTGTATCATTTCCATTTCTATCAACAATGAACGAGAGTTCCTATTATTCACATACTCACCAGTATTTGGGTTGTCAGTGTTTTGGATTTCTGCCATTCTAATAGTCATGTGGTGGTATCTCATTGTTAATTTGCATTTCCCTGATGACATATGCAGTAGTCTGTTTTCACACTGCTATAAAGAAATACCTGAAACTGGGTAATTTATAAAGGAAAGAGGTTTAATTGACTCACAGTTCTGCATGGCTGGGGAGGCCATGGTGGAAGATGAAGGGGAAGCAAGGCACGTCTTACATGGCGGCAGGAGAAAGAGACAGTGCAGGGGAAACTGCCATTTTTAAAACCATCAGATCTCATGAGAACTCCCTCACTGTTATGAGAACAGCATGGGGAAAACCGCCCCCATGATCCAACCACCTCCCACCAGGTCCCTCCCTTGACACGTGGGGATTACAATTCAAGATGAGATTTGGGTGGGGACATTGAGCCAAACCATATCAGTATATGATGTAGAACATTTTTTGATATAGTTACCTGCCATCTGCATGTATTCTTTGGTGAGGTATCTGTTAAGGTCTTTGGCCCATTTTTAAAATCAGGTTGTACACTTTCTTATTGTTATATTATTAGAGATTTTTGTATTGTAGGAGATCAGATTATGCCAACCCAGAACCATGCAGTGGTGTGTGCCTGTAGGTGCAGCTACTACAGAGTCTGAGGCAGGAGGATCTCAAGTTCAAGCCTAGTCTGGGCAAAATAGTGAGACCTCCAATTTCCAAACAAAACAAAACAAAAAAACAAAGAATATGCCACTTTGGCATAAAGATTATTTGAGCTGAAGGAAATTAAGGAAAAACAAGCACAAGAAAAACTCTTTGCCCCCTCCCACCAGAAAGGGCAGAATGATTCTTAATCACTGAAGATAACTCTAGACTATATAAATATATTTTTTTTTCTTTTTAGAGACAGATTCTCACTCTGTTACCCAGGCTGGAGTGCAGTGGTGCAATCATAGCTCACTGCAGCCTCGAACTCCTGGGCTCAAGCAATCCTCCTGCCTCAGCCTCCCATGTAGCTGGGACTACAGGCATGTGCCACCACACCCAGCTAGTTTATTTTATTTTTAAATGTTTTTAGAGGCAAGATCTCACTATGTTGCATCCAAGCTGGTCTCCAACTCCTGGCCTCAAGCAACCCTCCTGCCTCAGGCTTTCCTCCAGAGTAGCTGGGATTACAGGCACAAGCAACTCTAGACTATTAATAAACCCAGAGACACAAAGAATTTACAGAAGAAACCTTCTCAAAACAACCCTTATCTTCCATTAGTTCCCTCCATTTATTTACCTTCCACAGTTTGCTGACCCTAAAAACCTAAGCCCATTTTTCTTTGTCTTGTCACTTCTCTAAAAATTTGTTATGAAGCCCCATGTTCTAACTACCCTTTTTAGCTACTCATCACTGCTGTTTTTCCTGCATGTAAGCACAATGCACATGTTAATAAATTCCACCTGTTTTTCTCTTGTTAATCTGTATTTGTCAGTATAATTGTCAGGGTCTCAGTTACAGAACCAAGGAGAATAGAGGAAAAAGAGGTTTCTTCTCCCTTCCCCTACAGTTTATTTTGGATAACAGTCCTTTATATGTCTTTTGAAAATATTTTCTCCTAGTATGTGGCTTGTCTTCTAATTCTCTTGACAGGATATTTCAGAGCATAAGTTTGTAATTTTAGTAAGGTACCAATTACTAATGAGAGATACATGCAAACCATAGCATGTATTTTTAACACAAATTCAGTGTTCACTGCTTAACACTGTCATTTAAAAATCTTTACTAATTGGTTAAAAATTGTATCCCATTGTTGTAATTGCAATTTCTTCTATTACAAATGAGGTCGACCAAATGTTAATCAAATGTTTGTTAGCTATTTTTGGTATATTTTGTTTATAAACTGTTTGTTCATAAATTGATTCATGTAATCCACTGTTTTATCCAAATTACTTAATGGTTTTACTTGTGTTTAGGAAAACTGGAGAGAAATTTATCAATTTTCTCTTTCATGGATTGTGTCTTTGGTGTTGTATTCAACAGTCATTGCATGAAGATGGTAAATTTTGTTAGGTGTATCTTCTTAGTCTGTTTCATGCTGCTATAATAGAATATCACAGACTGGGTAATGTATAAAGAAAAGAAATTTATTTCTTACAGTTCTGGAGGGCGGGAAATCCAAGACTGGGGGGCCCACATCTGGTGAGGGCCTCATGCTCCGTCATCCCATGGTGGAAGGCAGAAGGGTGAGCACATGTGAGCACGCATATGAAGCACTCATGTGCAAAAGAGAGAGAGAAAGACAGGGGGAGGGAAGGGACTGAATTCATTCTTTTATCAGGAACCCACTCACACAATAATTAACCCACTCCTGCAATAATGGCATTCATCCATTCGTGAGGGCAAAGCCTCATGATCTAATCACCCCTTAAAAGTCCCACCTCTCAGGTTGCAGTGAGCTGAGATGGCGCCACTGCACTCCAGGCTGGCGGCAGAGCAAGACTCTGTCTCAAAAAAAAAAAAAAAAAAAAAAAAAGTCCCACCTCTCAACACTCTTGCATTGGAAATTGTGTTTTCAACACATGAACTTTGAGGAATACATTAAAACCATAGCATATATTTTAACATAATTTTTTTAATTGAGGGAAAAAAGTAATTGCCATACCCAAGGTCATCTAGATTTTCTCCTATGTTATCTTCTTAGGAGTTTTATAGTTTTACATTTTATATTTAAGTCTGTGGCCCATTTAGAGTTCTTTATTTTCTTTTTTGAGACAGGGTCTGGCTCTGTCACCCACGCTGGAGTGCAGTGGCACTATCTCAGCTCACTGCAACCTCCACCTCACAGGCTCAAGTGATCCCACTGCCTCAGCCTCCTGAGTAGCTGGGATTACAGGCATGTGCCACCATACCTGGTTAATTTTTGTATTTTTAGTAAAGATAGGGTTTCACCATGTTGCCTAGGCTGGTCTTGAACTCCTAAGCTCAACCAATCTGCCTGCCTCAGCTCCCAAAGTGCTGGGATTACCGGTGTGAGCCACTGCACCCGGCCTAGAGTTAATTTTTGTGATGATTGTAAGATCTGTGTCTAGATTGAATATTTTGCATGTGGATATGCAAGGCTAACATTTTAGAAACAGATTGTTTTCCTGGTTATAAAGTTAATACATGCTCAGTATAGAAATTTCCTAAAAGGCAGAAAAATATTAAGATAATTGAAATTATGACTGTTAACACTTTGATGAACTGCCAATTAGTCCTTTTTATATGCATTTTAACATTTTTCCACTTGCTTTCTTCATTTGGACATTATAATATGATCATTTTCCCTACACTGTTAAAAACTCTTTCTAAACACCCTTTTAATCATTGCATTTTCTCTAAGTAAATCATGTAATATCATTCACTTAGTTTTTTTATTGACATTTCTCATTTCTAAATTTTACCCTAATGAATATATTTGTATAGAAAGCTTTCTCCCCCACCCCTCTGTTTCAAGTTCTTTCCTTAGGATAGAGCCATAATAATAGACATGGAATCAGAGCAGGGAAAAGGTTAGCACGCTCCTAATGCATAATGTCAAATTGCTTTCCAGGAAGCTAGTTCTAATTTACAATCCCATCAGTAGTGGATGAATGCCTATCTTCACTCAATTCCCACCACTACTGAACCCTGTCATTTAAAGATCTTCGCTAATTTTAGAGGTTAAAAATTGTATCCCATTGTTATAATTGCCATTTCATTGATTACTAATGGGGTTGAACAAATGTTAATCAAATATTTGTTAGTTATTTGTGGTATACTTTCTTTGTAAATTATTTGTTCATAAATTGGTTCATTTAATCCACTGTTTTATCCAAATTGCTTAATGGTTTTATTTGTTTTTAGGAAAACTGGAAGAGCTTACATAAGAAAGGTATTGCAACATACGACTCCTAAAGGATTTTTGTCCTCAGTTATTGCAGAAATGAAAGAGCCCTTTGGATTAGAAGAAGTGAATGAGAGCTCTTGTTTGTCTAGTTCCCTTTTGATTAATAAAGCTGGAAATGTCTATAAACTCACTCTTGATTCACAAGGTAGGTATAATAATATCATACATCTCTGATGGCTAGAAAAAAATGAAAAATTATCTTTTGTGAAGGCATTTTAATGCTTATTTATAGAGCAATAGATTTCAAATTTTAGTCCAACTGGCAACCTACCAAAGTTTACATATATTTGGGTTCCTGAAAGTTTTTTGTTTTTTTTTTTTTTTGGCAATGGAGTCTCGCTCTATCGCCCAGGCTGGAGTGTAGTGACGCGATCTCGACTCACCGCAACCTCTGCCTCCCAGGTTCAAGCGATTCTCCTGCTTCAGCCTCCCGAGTAGCTGGGATTACAGGCATGTGCCACCACACCCAGCTAATTTTTGCTTTTTTGGAGTCTCGCACTGTCACCCAGCCTGGAGCGCAGTGGTGCAATCTCAGCTCACTGCAACCTCCGCCTCCTGGCTTCAAGCAATTCTCCTGCCTCAGCCTCCTGAGTAGCTGGGATTGCAGGCGCATGCCGCCACGCCCAGCTAATCTCTTTTGTATTTTAGTAGAGATGGGGTTTCACCATGTTGCCCAGGCTGCTCTCGAACTCCTGAGCTCAGGCAATCTGCCCACCTCAGCGTCTCAAAGTGCTAGGATTACAGGCATGAGCCACTGCACCCGGCCTAATTTTTGTCTTTTTAGGAGACGGGGTTTCACCTTGTTGGCCAGGCTGGTCTCAAACTCCTGACCTCGAGTGATCCGCCTGCCTCAGCTTCCCAAAGTGCTGGGATTATAGGCATTAGCCGCCACACGCTGCCCAAGATTTTTTTTTCTAATATAATAAAATATAGCTATAACTTCATTGATATTTCATCAATAGTAGTGCCTATTATTTATTCCTATGAGATTATTTTGTCTTGAAGAGTGATCAGAAGAAATGAAAGAAAATGGGAAGTTCCTGCAGATTTTGCCTCACTTTAACAAAATAATTTTGAATCAATGTTCTATAGGATGTTTCTATCTCAAAGGATTATTGATTCACAGCAAAAGTTAGTACAGTTTATTCTAAGGGTTTAGGTTTTACTCTGACTAAACGGGAAGCCACTGGAGGGTTAAGCAGAAAGTGATATGATCTGACTTAGCTCTCAACAAGATCACTTTGGCTGCTGTGATGAGAACAGACTGGGCAGGTGATGGAGAGAAAGCAAGGAGGAAAGCAGAGAAGTCAGCTAGGAGGCCATCACAATAATCAAGTGAGAGATCATATTAAACTTAAAGATGCTTGTTACTCATCCAAGTGGAGAAATAAGATGGGCACTTAGAAATACAAGTCTGGAGTTCAGGGAAGATGGCTGGGCTAGAGACACAGATTTGAGGACTTTCAGCATATGTATGATAGTTAATGCTATAAGACCAAATGAGAACACCTGGAAAATGAGTGGAGTTATAGAAGGGAAGAGGCTTGAGGTCTAATCCAGGGCAATATCTAGTGTTCAGGGAGATGGAGGAGAATCATTAAAGGATATTGGGTGGCCTGGTCAGAGTAGAACTAAGAGTGTGTCAAACCAGGTGAGGAAGGTGTTTCAAGAAGGAGAGGCCCCTCTCCCGTGTTGCATAACGCCAATAGGTCTGGTAAGATAAGGAATGAAAATTGGCCAGTGGATCTGTGTGAAAGTCCTTGGGAACCCTGGCCGGGTATGGTGGCTCATGCCTGTAATCCCAGCACTTTGGGAGGCTGAGGCAGGTGGATCACCTGAGGTCAGGAGTTTGAGACCAGTCTGGCCAACATGGTGAAACCCCGTCTCTACTAAAAATACAAAAATTAGCTGGGCCTGGTGGCAGGTGCCTGTAATTCCAGCTACTTGGGAGGCTGAGGCAGGAGAATTGTTTGAACCCAGGAGGTGGAGGTTGCAGTGAGCCAAGATTGCGCCATTGCACTCCAGCCTGGGTGACAAGAGCGAAACTCCATATCAAAAAAAAAAAAAAAAAAAGTCATTGAGAACTTTGACAAAAAGCTGTTGGCTGGAGTCATGTAGACAAAAGTCTGATTGGAATGGGTTCGAAAAATTATGAGAGGAGAGTGGAGACAGTGAATAAAGGTAACTCTTTCAGGAAGTTTTACTATAAAGGGAAAGAGAAATTACATGGTGGTTGGAGGGAATATTGGAAAGGATTTTCGTTGGTCGGTTTGAACTGGGAGAAATTGGAGCATGTGTGCATAATTAAGGCAATGATGAAGCCCTCTTCTGACTGTTTCTATTTTATTTTAGAGTAAGAGAGTATTGATGACATGTTTCATGACCTATCAAAAATATTTTGATAATGATTACTTCCCTCTCATTTCAACAGCCTTCCTTGGCTTCATTGATGTCTCCTCTGATTTTCTCCAATCATTTCTTCTTCGTCTCCGTGAGAGGATCTTTTTCCCTTTCCATTCCTTAAATGATGATGTTCCTTAAGGTCCTGCCCAAGAACCTCTTTTCTTCTAAATCTTCATATTCTCCTTAAATACTCAATCACTCATCCATTCAACAAATATTTATTGAGTATCTTCTGTGTAATAAGCACATCTTTAGGTACTGGGGAAACTGGCTACATTATCCTTCTCTTGTAGAATCACAATAAAGATTTTAGGTTTTTAAGGCTTTTAGTATTTCCATAGTAAAAAAAAAAAAATCAGCTTTCTTTACTTAGCTCTACATGGTTTTTTACTGCCAAAAATTTTATACAATAGTTTCACAGTAAACATTAAAGCATAGGTGCATGGTCTATTTATGATAAACTTTCTATAAAATAATTTGAATTATGACTGAAATTTGGCAACTGTGTTCTCTGGTTAAGAGATAGTTTAAAAACTCAAACAGTGTATTTGTTAGCTATGTACATCAGTTTGTTTGGCAAACATCGGATGTTTGATTTAATACCAAGTCTCTTCTGTTTAATCTCCAGTTGTTCAGGCCTTGTTTGAAGATACAGATATAGAGAAGACTGTAGTGCTTCCCGGGTACAGCAGCTTCCTCATCACAAGCATTTTAGATAATAAGAATGCATTAGCCATTGCTACCATGCCTGAAAGTGCACCCAACAATATGACCTTTCTAAAGAGCACATGGTTCTTATACAACTTTGGGCAAAGGAATGGACGAACATGGAAAATATATTCAAAACCATGTAATTATTGGTTTCAACATGATGATTCACCATCCCTCAACATTGTGAAATACATTGATCTGGGAAACTCTTATGTTTTAAAAGCTAAGGTCATACGGAATGCAAAAGGTAAGTTTGTTTTGATCGGAAAATATAAAAAGGAAATGTTATTTCTTTTCTTGAATGTGAAATATACTCTTTGATACTGACTGACTTTATCCTTGGTTCCCATACTTGTTGGCATTCTACTACTAACAGTATTAGTGCCTAATTATTGAGTACTTACTATGTACTGGGCTCTATATTAAACTATTATTTTATTTATTTATTTATTTGTGAGACAGACTCCCCCTCCATCGCCCAGGCTGGAGTACAGTGGCACAATCTTGGATCACTGCAGCCTCCACCTCCTGGGTTCAAGCGATTCTCCTGCCTCAGCCTCCCAAGTAGCTGGGATTACAAGTGTACACCACTCCCGGCTAGTTTTTTGTATTTTTAGTAGAGACAGGGTTTTGCCATGTTGGCCAGGCTGCTCTCAAACTCCTGACCTCAAGTGATTCACCTGCCTCAGCCTCCCAAAATGCTGGGATTACAGGCGTGAGCCACCTCGCTCAGCCATATTTCTATACATTATTTTATTTAATGTTTATAACAACCCTAAAAATATAGATTATAATCCTCATTTTACAAATGAGGAAAATGAGATTGCTACCAGCCCAAGTTGACACAGAATTTTAGTGTAGATTTCTGTTGCCCTCTGAAAGGAAAACTTTTTAATTACTTTGGTATTGTTATATTTATTTCAGCTACAGTTGACCCTTGAACAACACCAGTTTGAACTCTGCAGATCCTCTTATGTGCAGATATTGTTCAGCCAAACACGGACAGAAAACACAGTTTTTGCGGGATGTGAAACCCACATATACACAGGCACTGACTTTTCCTATGTGTGAGTTCCACAGGCCCAATTTAGGGACTTGAGTATATGTGGATTTTGGTATATACAGGGCTCCTTGAACCAACCCTTTGTATATACCACAGAATGACTGTATTTATTTTAAGCCAAAAAAAAGACCTTGAAGTAGAATTCTATACTTTCCCCCATTTTTCCAGCTATTTATTTATTACAAAAGTAATACAAAAATTGTTAAAGATGCTAGCGAAATAGCACAATGGAAAAAATAAAACAAAAAATTTTAGTAAATAACTGAGATAGGAAGAGAGGAAGGAAAGATGGAAGGGAGGGAGTAGGGGAGAAAGGGCAAGGAAAAGAAGAAAATTGTGCCACCAGAAATGAAAAGGGAACTTCAAACCAAAGAAATTAGCTAATGTATGACTCCCTGGAGGATGTGAGGCCCAGATACTGACCATAAGGCAGTGAGACAACTTTTAATGACCAATTGTTGACAGAAAGTTTGACTTTGGGCCTTACTACTTTGTGGAAGGAAGTTGGAATGGAGACCATTAAAGAAAGCTGGGACCATCAAATCATGAAGAGAGAATTAGGAAAACTCTGTCCACCAGAGTTTTCCTAAAGCAGCAGCATGGGCTTGGAATGGGGAGAAGGAATTTCCCGTAAAAATTCAAAACTTCAAGACTGTATCACATTCAGAGACTGAATTCTGCATTCACATGCAGAATTCCACGCTGAGAAATAATAACACCTGGGCCCCAACACAAGGAAGCACAAAACTCTGTAGGGGTCAAGCATGGTGTCTCATGCCTCTAATCCCAGCACTTTGGGAGGCCGAGGCAAGAGGATAGCTTGAGCCCAGGAGTCTGAGACCAGCCTGGGCAATATAGCAAGAGCCTGTCTCTATTAAAACACACACACACACACACACACACACACACACACACACACAATTTTATTACATTAAAAATATATTTTAAATTTACTCTCTGTAGGAATACTTTTATGACCCAGGTAATATGGACTTCCAGGGAAAAATCAGTCTCCATTGATCACAAATTGAGGAAAAGAACTTTAAAACTATGTAAGGAAATGACCCACCATAACAGAGAGTCAACAGGCATAGGAAAATTTTAGACTCCAGGAACTTGAGATAACAGAAAAATTAGAAAGACACTATCAAATGAGTATGCATAAAACTCTCAGAGTAAAAGAAGATATAGGAACCATAATGAAAGGACAAAATGCTATTTTTTTTAAAAAAAAAAAAGGCTTATTTGAAAAAACAGAACCAAGTAGTTTATATAAGTGAAAATTAGAAGTTTTGAAAAAAATTGAGAACATCTATTTCCCTCAATATCGTGGATTAAATGTCCTGAAAACCTTCCTTCTATCTGAAACCCTTGGAAATCCTTTCTTGTTGATTGTATGACTAATTGTCCCTATTTCCTTCAAGTAATTTTAGAAGTTTTAATTTTATGGTTTTAACTTTCTATTTAATTTTTAGGTTACCTCTATTTTATTTTGGTATATTATGTATGGTTAGCTAGTTGTTCCAATATTATTTATTCACTAATGCATCCTTTCTCTGCTGATTTCAAAATATAACTTTATCTTAGTATACAATTTACCTGTTATTCTGACCATTTCTGAATTTTTAGGATCTGTTCCATTGTAATCTCTCTATATTCTGTCACCAACACCGCAATGTTCTAATTATTTTCCCTTTAAAATATACTGAATTGCTTATTAAAGGGCTCAATCAGTTATATGTGTTCAGTTTGATGGAAGCAAATAATAATCAACAAATCAACTAAGTTGCCTGTTTCTGCAGAAAAATCTAGTCAAATCTACTGAAGGTGTGGTCCCTGAACCTGTGTTAGCATCACCAGGGCACTTGTTAGAAATGCAGAATCTCAGGCCTCACTCCAGACCTGCTCAATCTGTATTTCAACAAAATCTCCGGGTAAAGGCTAGGAAGCACTGGCCAGGTCACTTTGGTTTAAGGGAAACAGCTGCAGGTGTTTATAAACTCTGGTTTATTGATTGGTAAAGATGCCAGTTAGACTACATAGTATTTCAAATCTGTTTTTCCACTGAAGTGCTCAGTATGGCAAAGTTGCAAACAGGTGGCCTGCAGGCAGAAATTGGTCTGGTGAAATATTTTGTTTGAAATGCATAAGAGTTTTCTCTTGGCAACAATTAACTGGCAGCCCTTTCAACTGGGCATGTACCCTTCAGTTTTTCTACTCAGTCAACCAACTCAGTGTAGCCAGTATTATTGGAGACCTTGATTAGCATTTGAGAAGCAGGCTGAGGAATGAGGGAAACATTTCTCTGAGAAAATATTTGTAAAGTTACATTTTTCTGAGAACTGTCAGAGGCGTTTGAACCACAGCAACTTCATCTTGAATAGGAGCTGGGTAAAATGAGGCTGAGACCTACTGGGTTGCATTCCCAGATGGTTAAGGCATTCTAAGCCACAGGATGAGATACGAGGTTAGCACAAGATACAGGTCATAGAGACCTTGCTGATAAAACTGGTTGCAGTAAAGAAGCTGGGCAAAACCCACCAAAACCAAGATAGCAATCAGAGTGACCTCTGGTTGTCCTCAGTGCTACACTCCCACCAGCACCATGACAGTTTACAAATGCCATGGCAACATCAGGCAGTTACCCTATATAGTCTAAAAAGGGGAGGCATGAATAATCCACCCCTTATTTAGCATATTATCATGAAATAACCATAAAAATGGGCAACCACCAGCTCTATGGAGTAGCCATTCTTTTATTCCTCTACTTTCTTAATAAACTTGCTTTCACTTTACTCTATGGACTCACCCTGAATTCTTTCTTGTGTGAGATTCAAGAACCCTCTCTTGGGGTCTGGATCAGGACCCATTTCCTGTAACAGAACTATTAAAGTTGACTCTATATAAATTGCTAACTGTATGTGCAGTCATTGTGCAACCTTCAGAATAGATTCAGTTGATGTTCTAAAATCTGATTAGCCAATCATTATTCAATTGAGTTTACAGTTTTCATTATCTAATATTAACTGTTAACCTTGTTTCCATAGGTTTTCGAATGCTTGAAATACCACTACTGACTGTGTTTGTTGGAAACCCTAATTTGTTGGAAGTTACAGCTGAAGTCACTTTTGATGATACTGACAGTTATGTAATAACAATTTCTGCAGCTAGCAAAGTTTTACATCAGGTAGGATTTTCTTCATTTACAAAACATTTCTTACTGATGAAAAAATTTTCTGAAACAACTATTATTAATATTTAATGAGCATCATTTTAAACATCTCTGTTTATAAATACACACATAAGAGTATAGGGTTACAAGGATAAATACATTGAAGAAAGCGTTGTAATAATTTTATAAAAATAGATCTATGTCCTACATAATATTTTTAGTAATTACTTATATATTTATCAAACTTAAAAGAAAAATTGAGATGCAACTAAAGGTAACTGCACATTTCAGAATCATATTTTTTTACCACAAAAATATTAAGTTGAGCTGTATGAAATTACCCTTTTGCAGACCAAAACACAGTGAAATCTTGGCAATTTAATAGGTTCAATTTATAATTTTTGCAAATATCACATTAAAAATTAAAGAAAAAGGTAACAAGAAACAGTAGCAATTGAGGCCATTTCTTTTTTTGTTGTTGTTTAACTTGGACTCCTTTTTATCGCTTTATATGTGTATACGGTTAATTACATTTCTTCCTTCAACTGCTTAAACATAGGGAATATGGGCTGGGTGTGGTGGCTCACGCCTGTAATCCCAGTACTTTTGGGAGGCCAAGGCGGGTGGATCACCTGAGGTCGGCAGTTCAAGACCAGCCTGACAAACATGGAGAAACCCCGTCTCTACTAAAAATACAAAAAAATTAGCCAGGCATGGTGGCCCTTGCCTGTAATCCCAGCTACTCGAGAGGCTGAGGCAGGAGAATCACTTGAACCTGGGAGGCAGAGGTTGCAGTGAACCGAGATCGTGCCATTGCACTCCAGCCTGGGCAACAAGAGTGAAACTCTGTCTCAAAAAAAAAAAAAAAAAAAAAAAAAGGGGGAATACTTTAAATAATAAGAAATTCATTAGTTGAAATAAAGGCTTATTATTTATACCATGTTCTTAATATGTACTTAGTATGATAGACTTATTGAAATTGTGATAGAATAAAGATGAGCTACTAAATGAAAACTAAATGGTGAAAAATAAAATACATGTAGCTTACTAAACTCCTAGCATCTAAGAGGAAGAAATATCTCAATTCTTCAGGAAAAACAAACATTTTTCAAATTATAAATTTACAAGTCATTTTTTTTTAGCAGTGGACAATTACCAGGGCATGAACCCTTCGTTAGCATTACTTTATTCAGTAAATGAGAACCACAAAAAATCACTGGAAAGGACTAGAGACAGATACGGAATAAATGTGCTCTTCAGCATTTTTCTTTTTTTTTATTGTAAATCAACAGTTTATAATTGTATAAATTTATGAGGTACAAAGTGATGAAAGATGAAAGATAAGTTTTGGTGAGAATGTGGAGAAAAGGGAACACTTGTACACGGTTGCTGAGAATGTAAATTAGTAGAGTCATTATGGAAAACGGTATACAGCCAGGTGCAGTGGCTCACGCCTGCAATCCCAGCACTTTGGGAGGCCAAGGTGGGCGGATCACCTGAGGTTGGGAGATCAAGACCATCCTGGCTAACACAGTGAAACCCCATCTCTACTAAAAATACAAAAGATTAGCCAGGCATGGTGGCATGCGCCTGTAATCCCAGCTACTCGGGAGGCTGAGGCAGGAGAATCGCTTGACCACGGGAGGCGGAAGTTGCAGTGAGCCGAGATCACACCACTGCACTCCAGCCTGGGCAACAGAGAGAGAGATTCCATCTCAAAAAAAAAAAAAAAAGGAAAACTGTATGTATGATCCTCAAAAAACTAAAAGTAGAATTATTGTATGATCTAGCAATTTCAAATCTAGGTATTTACCCAAAATATTTCAAATCCATTTGTCAAAAAGATGTCTGTGTACCAGTGTTTACTGCAGCACTATTCAGGACAGCCAAGTTACCGGGTCAACCTAAAAGTTCATTAAGAGATGAATGGATAAAGAAATATGGTGCAGGAATATATACACAATGTAATACTACTCAGCCTTTTAAAAGAAGGAAAGTCTGTGATTTGCAACAAAATGATGGAATTGGAACATTATGCTAAGTGAAATAAGCCAGGCACACAGAAAGATAAATACCACACATCCTCGGTTGTATGTGAAATCTAAAAAATTGAACTCATAGAAGCAGAGAACAAAATGGTGGTTACAGAGCTGGAGGTAAGAAGGATGGTCAAGGGGTACAACAGTGGTCTCCAACCTTTTTGGCACCAGGAACCAGTTTCATGGAGGACAGTTTTTCCATGGAATGGGATGCGGGGGCATGGTTTCAGGATGAAACTGTTCCACTTCAGATCATCAGGCATTAGATTCTCATAAGGAATGTGCAACCTGGATCCCTCGCATGTGCAGTTCACAATAGGGGTCGAGTTCCTATGAGAATCTAATGCTGCCGCCGATGTGACAGGAGGTGGAGCTCAGGCAGTAATACATGCTTCTCTGCCACTCACCTCCTGCTGTCCTGCTGTAAGGCCAGGTTCCTAACAGTCCACAGACTGGTACTGGTCCTCAGCCCGGGGGTTGGGGACCCCTGGGGTACAAGATCTCAGACAGGAAGAATATGGGTTTTTGTTAGTTCTATTGCACAGTATGGTGAATATAGTTAATAATATAGTATTGTACGTTTCAGAATTGCTAAGAGAGTAAATTCTAAATGTTCTCACCACAAAATGATTAAGTATTCAAGGTGATGGCTATGTTAACTAGATTGATTTAATTATTCCACATTATATTCATAATTATAGCAAATTTATAATGTAAGTTATGAAAGAGAAGGAAAAAAATATGCTTAATTCTATCTATCTTTTGTTTTGTTTTGGTTATTTTTGAGACAGGGTCTCTCTCTGATGCCCAGGCTGAAGTGCAGTGGTGTGATCACAGCTCACTGCAGCCTTGACCTCCTGTGCTCAAGCAGTCCTCCCACCTCAGTCTCCCTAGTAGCTGGGACTACAGGCCCACCACGCCTGGCTAATTTTTGTGTTTTTAGTAAAGATGGAGTTTTACCATGTTGCCCAGGCTGGTCTCAAGGTACTGGGCTCCTGGGCTCAAGCAGTCCTCCCACCTCAGTCTCCCTGGTAGCTGGGACTAAAGGCCCACCATTCCTGGCTAATTTTTGTGTTTTTAGTAGAGATGGGGTTTTACCATGTTGCCCAGGCTGGTCTCAAAGCCCTGGGCTCAAGCGATCCACCCACCTAGGCCTCCCAAAGTGCTAGGATTACAAGCCTGAGTCACTGCACCTAGCCATATCTTTTAAGGATGACTAAGCACTTTTAACATTTTGGGTATTTAAAAAGGCAGTGTAGAGGTTCAGAACAGAGGATAAAAGTTCAGAGCCCTAGAGAAGACTACCTGGATTGGCTCTCACTTCTGGTATTGTGTGACCTTGGGAAAGTTACTTTATTGTGGCTAAGATCCCTCATCTGTAAAATGGAGGTGACAATATACCTACTTCACATGGTTGTTTTGAGAATTAAATGTGATAGTGTTACCAGGAGGGGTGCGGGGTCCTCAGTTCATGTCTTCTTGGAGGAAAAAATTCAGCCAAGAGACGTGCGGCAAGGGAGTTTATTTAAAGCAACAATACGCTCAGAGCTGGCTGCTCAAGAGAATGATGCAGCTCCAACTAGCGTTAGTGAAACCTTCTTCATGAGAATCTTACATGATTATTCATGAAGGACCATGAGGGGGTGTTACTTGCAAGCATGTTTCAAGTGGTCCCTTGGGTGCATGCGCTGTGGTTGCACATGCTAGGACACACATCACATTTCTCATTAGCATTTAAATTCTCCACCCAGGGTGTGCTTTTTAGTATTATAATGAGCAAAAGGCTACTCTAGGGCGAGATTTTGGAGGAGTGCGGTGCTTGTCATCAGATAGAGTCCCTACCACAGTTATCTCCAACTAGGGCCTAATAAGCCTGATAAGCCCAGTCCATGAGGCCAGAAGTTGCCATTGTAGCCATTGTTTTTTTTCTTTGCTGTCAGTTGGCAGTGCTGACAATCAGTGGGCAGTGCCTGCAATCAGTGGGCAGCATCTCCAAGGATTCCTTTCCCAGAGGCTCTTCTTCCTGCTCACTTCTGCCTACTCTAACAATACTACAAATAGCATATCTAAAACATTGCCTGGCACCCAGAAAATGCTCAATAACTATTAACTTACAATATTTTCTTTTTTTTCCCTGAAATTAGGACACATGGTATATACACTTTTAGACGTGCTCATTCCATTTAACTGTATGTTCTAATCCTTTCAAGTCAATATTTTTCTTACATATTCTAAAATTTTTTTATCATGAAAACTTTAAGATATAGACAAAAGTAGAACTTCCATACATCCATTACCTAAATTAAACAATAGTCAAGATTGTGCTACTTTTGTTTTATCATCCCTATTTAATTTGTTTTGTTTGTATTCTGAGGTATTTTAAAACAAACATCAGGCATATGATTTCATGCCCACATACTTCAATATACATCTCTAAAAAAAGTATGTTATCTCCCACATAATGACAACAGCCATTATCATCCCTAAAATTTTTTAAAATACTTTTTAATATTGTATAAAATGTAGTTCATAATCAAATTTCCCTAATTTTCTAAAAAAAAATTATAGTCAGTTTGTTTGAACTGAGATAAAACAAGATTCACACAGTATATGGTTGTTTATCTTTTAAGTCTTTTATTTGAAGGCAGCTACTACTCCATTTTCTTCCCCTGCCATTGAATTGTAGAAATTGGGTCAGTTGTACTATAGAATTTCCAACATTCCAGATTTTTCTGTTTGCTTCCTTGTATCTTAACTTTTGCCATTAGACCTCTGTATTTCCTTTAATAGTGGAACTCTGCTTAAATTCAGTGTCAATGTGTTTGACAAAAGTAATAAAAATACGTTATTCTTAATGGCTACAGAGTATGGGGACAGGACAAAATGACCACTACCAGAACCTACTATATCACTACGGTTATTAGTATTTCTACATTTTTAAAGTTCCAAAAATACTTCAGAATTGTAAATAGAATTTATTGAATTGCACTGCTGTTTAATATTGTTCAAAGATCAAGTATATTTACTGTGCGTATATTTTTAAAATCTAGCAAAAATCTAGATAAAAATCTATCTTTATGAAATACAGTGATTACTAAGTGAATTTTATTTTCAAAATGTACACCAATCAGGCTAAGTATGGTGGCTCATACCTCTGTTCCCAACACTTTGGGAGGCCAAAGCAGATGGATCACTTGAGGCCAGGAGTTCGAGACCAGCCTAGGCAACACAGCGAGACCCCGTCTCTATAAAAATTTAAAAAAATTTTTTTAGTTATTTGCACAGCATGGTGAATATAGTTAATAATAGAGTATTGTACATTTCAAAATTGCTAAGAGTAAATTTCAGATTTCAAAAGCTAGGTGTGGTGGCACACATCTATAGTCCTAGCTACTCAGGAAGCTGAGGTGAGAGGATCGCTTGAGCCCAGGAGTTCAAGCCTGAAGTAAGCTATAATAGTGCCACTGTACTCCAGCCTGGGTGACAGAGCGCAATCTCATCTCTTAAAAAAAGAAAGAAAGAAAGAAAGAAAGAAAGAAAGAAAGAAAGAAAGAAAGAAAACAGTAAACAATCAAAGTTATTTTATTTATATCATCAAACCAAATATTCAGGTGCTCATCAGTGAATGGGGAAGCCTCAACGATATGAGTTGGATGTAACAGTGGTATTTATTTAATAAGTCTTTAAAAAATATTTTAAAATAAATTTTGTTGTGTATATTTAAGGAATACAATGTGTTGTTGTAAGACACATATATGTAGTAAAATGATTACCATTGTGGAATAAATACCTCACATAGGCATCCACTTTCCCCTAATGTGGTAAAAGCAGCTATAATCTGCTAATTCAGCAAAAATACTCAAGTACTGAATATAATACAGTATTATTAACTATAGTCCTCATGTTTCTTTTTTTGTTTTTGGTTTTGTTTTTGGTTTTGGTTTTTTTGTTTGTTTGTTTGTTTTTGAGACGGCTAGCTCTGTCACCCAGTCTGGAGTGCAGTGGTGTTATCTTGGCTCACTGCAACCTTCACCTCCCAGGCTCAAGCAATTCTCCTGCCTCAGCCTCCCAAGCAGCTGGGACTACAGGCATATGCCACCACGTCTGGCTGATTTTTGTACTTTTAGTAGAGGTGGGGTTTCACCATGTTGGCCAGGCTGGTCTTGAACTCCTGACCTCAGGTGATCCACCCACCTCAGCCTCCCAAAGTGCTGGGATTACAGGCGTGAGCCACCGTGCCCAGCCAGTCCTCAGGTTCTTGATCCTAGCTTATTTCCAAATACTTCCCCGAACCAATTAGATTGGAATATATTTCTTCCTGGAAAAGAATATGTTTTCTATTATGATTTATTCTCAAACAGATCTTTATGGTCAAATATTTTTCTACTTCTGTCATGTCTTTTTGTATTTCTTTTCTTTTTCTATATTTTTTAGTTTTCTATATTCTTCACTATATTAGTTTGCTATGGCTGCCACAACAAAATACCACTGACTTGGTGGCTTGGTGACTCAAACAATGGAAATTTATTTTCTTACAGTTCTAGTGGCTACAAGTTCAAGAGCAAGATATCAGCAGGGTTAGTTTCCTCTGCAGCCCCCCTACTTGGCTTGTGTATGGCCATCTTCTTGCTGTGTCCTCATATGGTTGCCCCTCAGTTTCTGTGTTGTCTATATCCTAATCTCCTCTTCTTATAAGATGACACCAGTGACACTGGATTGGGGCCCACCCAAATGACCTCATTTTACCTTAATTACCTCCTTAAAGGCCCTATCTCCAAATACAGCCACATTTTGAGATACTGGAGGTTGGGGTTTCAACATGTGATTTTTGGTTGGACACAGTTCAGTCCATAACAGTTACTTTAAATAACCTTCATTTATTTGGTTATTTCCAGGGTTCAACTTCACTGGCATTTATTATGTGGTCAGCCTCTACTGAGTGCTTTGTTACGACAATGGTGCCAACACTGAAAAGCAGCTGTAGTTATCTCAGATCTATGCATCACATTCCTAGCAAATTTATCCCATTTGAAGACTGGATTAGTGGAGTTCATAAAGACAGTCAGGGTTTTAACCTCATCAAAACTTTGCCGGTAAAAAAAAAAATCTAAGTATATTGGTTTAAGAAGCAATGCTATGTGACTTTTGTGTGATTGCCTACCCATTCAGTTTCAGCATTTCTTTTGTGAGTGGCTCAAAACACTTCACAGTTATTTTTTAATCCTCATGTCATTTTGAGGATGTGATGATTTCTAAGCTGTAAAAGCTTTCTGAAATAATTATTTTTCCTGGTAACTTAGTGTCATTATTATTATCATTTTACACTTTATATGTTGGTGTGATCTTTGTCTTTTGTGATATATTCAACTATTTTCCCTTACATTGACTTGTCCTAAGCTGATACAATTAGCCTTTGAACAATAGGTTTGAACTGCATAGGTCCACTTACATGCGGATTTTTTTCAAGAAATATATTGGACTTCTTTTGGAATTTTGTGACAATTGAAAAAATTCACAGACAAACCTCATAGCTTAGAAATGCAGAAAAAATCAGCCAGGCGTGGTGGCTCACGCCTGTAATCCCAGCACTTTGGGAGGTCAAGGCGGGCAGATCACTTGAGGTCAGGGTATCGAGACCAACCTGACCAACATGGAGAAACCCCATCTCTACAAAAAATACAAAAATTAGCCCGGCACGGTGGCACGCGCCTGTAATCCCAGCTACTCGGGAGGCTGAGCCTGGGAGGCAGGGGTTGCAGTGAGCGGAGATGGTGCCACTGCACTCCAGCCTGAGCAACAGAGCACAGAGCATGACTCTGTCTCAAAAATAAATACATAAATTTTAAAAAGAAATATCTAAACAATTAATAAAAAGTTGGATATGTCATGAATGCATAAAATATATATAGATACTAGTCTATTTTATCATTTGCTATCATAAACTATACACAAATCCATTATAAAAAGTTAAAATTTATCAAAACTTACACACACAAACACAGATAGTACATCAAGCCAGAGAAATGTAAGCAAATGTAAAGATACAGTATTAAATCATAACTGCATAAAATCAGCTGTAGTACACACTGTACTACTGTAATAATTTTGTAGCCGCCTTCTGGTGCTACTTGGGTGAACTGTAATGTTGCCAGTATTCCTTTAAAATGCCCTGAGAGGCTATTCATCTGCATGTGAGCAGTTCACCTAGCCAGTAAATTGCAATTCACAATAAAAAGTGACCTCTCGTGGCTCTAATGTACTTTTCATCGTGTGATACTGTAAACCTTAAATAACACCATGGGTTCCATATGAAGTGGTGCTGGAAGTACTCCCAAGAGGCAGAGAAAAGTCATGACATTACAAAAAAAAAAAGGTGAATTTCTTGAAGCACACTGTAGATTGAGGTTCTTCAGCTGCAGTTTCCCTGGATTTCAGACAGACAATTCACCTTGTAAACAGATGATGTAAAGTTACAGTATCCATAAATACAGAATAGTACTATAAATCCATTTTCATTTTTTCTCTAGCTCACTTTATTGTAAGAATACAGCATATAATACATATTACATACAAAATATATATTAATCGACTTTATATTACCAGTAAGACTTCCGGTCAACAGTAGGCTATTAATGGTTAAGTTTTGGGGTGGTCAAAAGTTATATGTGAATTTTTGACTGTACAGGAGGTCTGCACCCCTAACCCCTGTGTTGTTCAAGGGTCAACTATATATCTACCCATTTCAATGTAATAATTTTAACTTTTGCCTTGTCAGAATTTGTGACTCTTTTTAAATATAAAATGTTGCTCTTTATCAACTAATTTATTACTTATAATTTTCTTTGTGACAAAAAGCAAATAACCAAACTTGAAGAATTATTTACTAACTATGATACATCACTAAGACTCTTTGATAAAGTGTTTAAACTTTATTGCATTGACTTTATGGCAGTTTTTTCACTTATTTACAAGTTATATTATCATTGGTTAAAATTGTTGAAATTCCAGAAAATGAGGGGTAGAAAAGTTGGGGGAGATAAATTTACTTTAATACCTGTATCTAAAAATTGAATTTTTGCCTTGATTGGTTTTCTAGAAAGTCAAGATCTATAAATTAAAGACTTCATAATAATGAATTGTACATTTTCTTTGTTTAATCACTTGCAGATAAACTACAGGCCTCCATCTAATATGGGAATTGCTATTCCACTCACAGATAATTTTTATCATGCAGATCCTAGCAAACCCATACCAAGAAACATGTTTCACATGTCAAAGGTAAATAACTTTTTTACAAATAATCTAGCACTTATTTGAATTCAGGAAATCATTCAGTAAAATTATATATATAGCTATAAGTGTTAAATGAGTAGGTGAAGCTGTTATTATCGTGATTGCTACTCTGTTCCTCCTCCTTCTACTTTAGCCCCTCCTCTTACAGCTATTCCTGAATACAGTTTTGGAGCCAAGAAGTCCAAATGGATGCTTTCCCCCTTGACTCTCCCTGGTTCCCATTTGGATTTCATTGATGGGGTGAGAGCATCTTTTCTCGAATGAAAGGAGCCCCCAGCTCTTCAGCTCTGTGAACGGAATGATGTCCAAGAGGGAAGAAAACTGCCTGCTCCAATGCAGGCACATTTAAACTCCTGCTAAGATTCTGCCTAGAAAATAACCAACTCCCAGCAGCACCCTGCCTCCCTAAAGGTGGAGGGAGGGAGGGAGGGAGACAAGGGAGGAGCCATTAGGTTCAGAGGAAAAGTGCAGCGTGGGGCAGCTTCTCAAGGAGACCACATGGACGCCTGTGGAATCTCTCCAGAAAAATGCACCCACCTGCCCATACACATGCACAGACAGTCATATTCATTCATACACATGTGCACGTACACGAATACATAAAATTGGTGTTTCTTTAGCTCAAAACTCTCCACTGTCTTCCGATCTCATTCAGAGTGAAAACCAAATTCTTGCAATGGTTTATAAAGTCCTCCTTGGACTTTGGCCTTGACATTACGTCTGACCTGATTTTCCCAGCTTGATCTGCTCTAGCCATGCTGGCCTCTTTGCTGTTTCTCCAATATGCTGGGCGTATTTCCACCCCGTGGCCTTCACAGTTGCAGAAAATCCCTCTGTGTGGAATGCTTTTCTGCCTGATACCACATGGCTGACTCTTCAGGTGCTTTTCCTCAAGTCACCATCACAGTAAGCCCTTCTCTGACCACTCTATTTAGAATCATAACCCCCATCTCCACTGTCTCCCCTCCTTCCCTGCCTTATTTTTCTCCATATCGCTTACTACGGTTTTACCTATTTTACTCACTTATTTTATTTCTTGTCTTTCTGACCCCATGAGAAGGTAAGCTCATAAGGTAGAGGTTTTTATCTATTTCTTCTCTACTATATCCCCAGTGCCCAGAACAGTGACAGACTTAGAGAATGCTTTAAAATTGTGAAACATATTAATACACATTCACCGCCCCCCCCCCCCCCGCCCACACACACACAATTAGGAAGTGAACAGACTTCTTGTGAAATCTTGGGTTTCAGGTTAAGAAGCTCTGCTCCAGGCAATGATTAGCTATGATACTGAGTTCTTCTCCACGTCCAGTTTCTCCCAAAGACAAAGAACCACCTCCTCTACTGAAATATGACTTTACTATGTTTACATGGAAATCCTTGATTTCCCAGGTTTTTCACCAGGATTTTCTTGTGAGTTAAATAGGGAATGTATGTACACCTAATGATTACTACCCCATCTTTTATGCATCCAACAAGTGTTAATTTCACCATTTCCAGTGTTATCAGGCACTATCCAGACATTTTCTGAAGATACAGCAATGCACAAGATAAGCATGGTAGCTTCATGGACTCTAATAGGTGAGAATTTGTATATCTTAAGCAAAAAGACATACAAATTAAATAGCGTCATCGAGTGCAGGGCTTCTGAACAGTACGGCCCTGCATATCCTGAACCAGAATTATTCGAAAATATTTTTTGTTTTGTTTAGTTTTGAGACGGAGTATCGCTCTGTCACGCAGGCTGGAGTGCAGTGGCGTGATCTCAGCTCACTGCAACCTCCGCCTCAGGGGTTCAAGCGATTCTCCTGCCTCAGGCCCCTGAGTAGCTGGGATTACAGGCGTGCACCACCACGCACAGCCAATGTTTGCATTTTTAGTAGAGACGGGGTTTTGCCATGTTGACCAGGCTGGTCTCAAACTCCTGACCTCATGTGATCCATTCACCTCGGCTTCTCAAAGTGCTGAGTTTATAGGCATGAGCCACTGCACCCACCCCAAAAATATTTCTACGATGCATCTTTCTGAATCTCATAGCTACTGCATCAGAAACTATGAGGTACCATCCTGAAATCTGCATTTTATTTGTTTGTTTGTTTGTTTGAGACGGAGTCTTGCTCTGTCGCCCAGGCTGGAGTACAGTGGCGCGATCTTGGCTCACTGCAACCTCCACATCCTGGGTTCAAGCGATTCTCCTGCCTCAGCCTCCCAAGCAGCTGGGATTACAGGCACCCACCACCACACCCAGCTAATTTTTGTATTTTTAGTAGAGACGGGGTTTCACCATGTTGGCCAGGCTGGTCTCGAACTCCTGACCTCAAGGGATCCGCCCGCCTCGGCCTCTCAAAGTGCTGGGATTACAGGCGTGAGCCACAGCGCCCAGCTGAAATCTGCATTTTAAAGAGTTTAAGATAGGCCAGTAGTAGATCAGACACAAAACAGAGTATGAGTGAGTCAGGAGAGACATCCCAGAGGAAATGCTTCTGAGTCAAGACTGAAAGATGGATAGGGGTTAACCAAACAAAGGAGGAGAGAGTGGTAACAGAGAGGAGGGGAAAGGGAGTCAAACAGCATTCCAGGCTGAGGCAACACCAGATACAAAGAGTGGCGATGGGGAAAGGCTCAGTGTCTCTGACAAACTTAAAGACCATTCAGCCTGGAACATAATGAGCCAGCGAAAGAGTTTGGGGACAGCAGGCCCTAATGCTACAGGATCTCCTCGGCCGTGGAAATGATTTCAAATTTTATCCTAAGAGAAATCAAGAGCCATCTAGGGTTTTAAGCAAGAAAGTAACATGATGGTTACTGTGGCGGCGACTCACTTCATCCCAACCTCTTGATACTTTCGCTTCTGGAGGTCATATTTCTCTAAGATCTTCCAGAAAAAAGTCTTAAAGCCACCTTAACCTTTTTTCCAGTCCAGCTCTTAAATTTTTTCCTCCTCTTCCCCAATAATAACATGAGTGTGGCTCCAGCTTGTTCACAAAGCCTGCCTTGCTCCAACGCATCCGTCTGTAAAGACTCTTCACTTACACCTGTGATTTGTGGGCCTGAAGAAAACTATCCATCCTTGCAAATGTCTTCTGCTGAGATGCCTCACATGGAGACTGTCTCTCCTCTTCCTTCCTCCGTGGATCTGCTTATTTAGGACAGCCCTGATTCTTCCACCCCTCCCAAAGGCAAACAACCCACTTCTGCAGAGAAGAGTGCCAGAAAAAAGGAAGACAAGGTCCCATTCAAGAAACAGAAGACCAGAACTGTGTTCTCTTCCACACAGCTGTTTGTACTCAATGATAGATTTCAGGGACAGAAATACTTCAGCCTCCAGCAGATGCAAGAACTTTCCAACATCCTGAACCTCAGCTACAAACAGGTTAAGACGTGGTTCCAGAACCAGAGAATGAAATCTAAGAGGTGGCAGGAAAACAACTGGCCAAAGAATAGCAATGGTGTGACTCAGAAGGCCTCAGCACCTACCTACCCCAGCCTCTACTCTTCCTACCACTGGGGATGCCTGGTGAACATGACTGGGAACTTTCCAATGTGGAGCAACCAGACCTGGAACAATTCAACCTGGAGCAACCAGACCCAGAACATCCAGTCCTGGAGCAACCACTCCTGGAACACTCAGACCTGGTGCACCCAGTCCTGGAACAATCAGGCCTGGAACAGTCCCTTCTATAACTATGGAGAGGAATCTCTGCAGTCCTCCATGCAGTTCCAGCCAAATTCTCCTGCCAGTGACTTGGAGGCTGCCTTGGAAGCTGCTGGGGAAGGCCATAATGTAATACAGCAGACCACTAGGTATTTTAGTACTCCACAAGCTGTGGATTTATTCCTAAACTACTCCACGAACATGCAACCTGAAGATGTGTGAAGAAGAGTGCAATTGACATTAATCAATTTCAGTCTGGGCACTGGCTGAATCCTTCCTCTCCCCTCCTCCCATCCCTCATAGGATTTTTCTTGTTTGGAAACCACATGTTCTGGTTTCCATTATGCCTATCCAGTCAATGTGATGGAGGGTGGGGTATGGTTGGAGTCTAATCAGAGAGATTTCTTTCTTTTTTCCTGTTGGATCTTCCTGGAGAAAAGACAGGCATGTGCCTGTAGTCCCAGCTACTCAGGAGGCTGAGGCTGGAGAATCACTGGAGTTCAGGAAGTGGAGATTGCAGTGAGCTGAGATTGCACCATTGCAGTCCAGCCTGGGTGACAGAGTGAGACTCCATAAAAGAAAGAAAGAAAGAAGAGAGAGAGAGAGAGACAGACAGAGAGGGAGGGAGGGAGGGAGAGAGAGACAAAAAAAAAAAAAATAGATGAAGTTCTTGAATAGACATTTCTCCAGACAAGGTGATATGGTTTGGATCTGTGTCCCCACCAAATCTCATGTCGAATTGTAATCCCCAGTGTTAGAGGTGAGGCCTCATGTATGATGGGGGCAGTCTCTCACGAATGGTTTAGCACCATCCCACTAGTGCTGTTCTCGTGATAGAGTTCTCATGGGATCTGGTGTTTAAAAGTCTGTAGCAACTCCCCCTTCTCTCTCTACCTCCTGCTCCTCCTCCCTCTCTTCCTGCCTCACTCCCTTTTACCTTCTGCCATGATTGTAAGTTCCTTGAGGCATCCCCAGAAGCTGATGCTGCCATGCTTCCTGTGCAGCCTGTGGAACTGTGAGCCAATTAAACCTCTCTTCTGAGGGCAGTGCGCGCTTCTCAGGCTCTAGAGCGGTGGGGTCCTCTGCCTGCACCCCTTCCTTGCTGGCCGGCATTTCAGCTGCAGAGTTTTGCCCACACTTTAAGACTTAGGGAGCAGAATTTGCCCACTCATCTGGTATAACTAGTTCTGATGGCTGGGAATAAAGGATGAGGACGTGCTGCTTATACCTTTAATATTGAGGCTGTTGGATTTAGCAAAGGTAAAAAGTTACCTGATGTAGTGTTGAAACCACCCCCACTATTTCCTGATACAGATTATAAACCAGTGCCACTGAAGACAGGAGAAGGTGAATAATATATGCTGGCTTTGAAACAGGAGTTGAGAGAAACAATGAAAAGAATGCCCTATTTTATTGAAACACCCTCATGAAGAAAGACAAGATATTGAAAGGTATAGTAAAAGATACATGAAGGTATACAAGGAAGAGTGGATACCAGATTGGAGAAGACTTCCAAGAGAGATGATGCCAAGAAATAAATGTAAAAAAGCAGGCCCAAAACCCAAAAAGGCAAAAGACACAGGCAAAGGCACATCACTCACTAATACTGCAGATGTGTTGAAAAAAATTGAGGAATTGGAAAAGAGAGGTGATGATGAAAAATCAGATGAGAAAAGAAGAGAAAGAAGGAAGCAAAGAGAAAAGTAGAGAAGGTGATGATGATGATGACAATGATGCTGCAGAACAGGAGGGATATGATGAAGAAGAGCAAGAAGAGGGAAATGACTACATTAATTCATACTTTGAAGATGGAGATGATTTTGGTGCAGACAGTGATGACAACATGGATGAAGCAACCTAGTAGGCATGAAATTTTTCAAAAAATGTTTTTATGATGCAGCTTCTGAACATTTGGACAGATTTGTTTTATATTTTATTTCTGATAAGGAATAAGTATTTTTATTTTTGTTTTTTTTTGTACAAATATTTGTTACCAAAATATTCAAAACCACTTTGAGTTTACATTCTAGTTACCTTACAAATTAGTCCCTGACACTCTGACATTCCTTCTAAACCCTTCTGCCATCTCTCTTATGTACTCTCGTGGATTTTTTTGTATTATTTGAATATGAATGTGCCTAAATAATTTTTGCTCCCTTAATCTATGTATACATACATTCTTGCTTAACTGCTGATCTTTTCTAAGACTATTGCTAGTCATAATGGATTTCTAGAATTTGAAAGTTGATATAATACAGCACATGGAGCACTTTAAAAACAAACTTGAAAATAATTTTATTTTTTATTTTTACATGGTATGTTCTAGACTACTGCATTATGACTACATAAACCTACCTGACCTCTTACAAGTACAGAATTGTGAGATAGAGGTTTTGTGATGGAAAACATACACACAGGGAAAAATACCAAGCTAAGCAATATAAATTTCACAGCTCACAGCTTAGCCAGTACAAAGAAACTTTCACATGAGGTGAATATTATAAATACTTGAATTTGGGACTAACCTAATACTGTATGATATATGAATTAATCATCCCACTGTAATAACTTTGACATCTTCAAGTAGTTGGGCTTATGAAAAATTTGACTAAGACATTTAATTTTATACTTTATGTAAGTGTGAAATAAGTTCTGATCATATAAATATCACTGTAGAATGCATGTGTGTGAACTCTATGAAGTGAAGTGTGGTGGCCTTTTATGTATGCAAGCTGTACTATTGATTTATATAAAAATGCAAAATGAACTCAGGTCATTTTGAAATTAAGATTAATTTTTTTGTTGTTTAGAGCTAGCTCCCCTAACTTTATATATTTTTGGGGAAAAAATACCTAAAAACCTCAACCTACAAATACTCTCACAAATGCCAAAGATCTTCAAGGAAATTCATATTATGTATTTCAAAAATGATTTATCAATGTGATCTACCAAAAAAAATTTATTTTTCCCCTTTAGGAAGATATTATTATCCTCTAATGTGAGAATCAGATCCCTAGATTCTATTTCTACCTGTACTATTAAACTCAACCTTGAACCTGAGCTTGGTTGTTTCTGTGCCTTAGTTTCTCCACTCGTAAACAATTTCCTACAAAAATTGTGTAAACACCAACCAAAATTTACCATATATATTCATTCTCTTGCCATAAAGATCACTTCTTAATTTACATTTGGCTCTCACCCTCTAAAAATATGTTGTTTGGAGAGTAACTGAAAACACAATTTTAAGAAACATGTTTTCCTCACAAAATATATTGTAATCTGATTTTCCTATCTTGTATTCCTGTGGAAAATTAGAGAAAAAGTGTATTGTCTTGTGCCATTTTGCAACATAACTTTCTCAGGAAAAAGATCACTTTCAATGGCAATACTTTCTTTAGTAATTCAAGATGGGTGTGAGGACCTATTTTATTAATTTAGTGCTATGTTAAGCATTTGTGAATTACTTCTTGTTTAAAGGAAGTATCAAAAAATTTTAAGATTCTAAATGGAATACATGAATAAAGTAAGCCTTAGAGTAGAAACCTCACATAAAGTTGTCATTTGCAGCTGATAATTAACATAGGTGTTGTATTCTCTCAACTCCTTCGTACCAGAGCCAAATACCATTTAGTTCTCAGAAATCTTATCAATATTGTTCTGTTTACTGACTTATCATAAATCTGCAGATAACCACTTGAAACAGGCAAATACACCGAAGGTAAAAGTTATTTCTTTTTTTAGCTTTGAATTTGTGATGACCATTTTAGTCTTGAAGATAGCAGGGCAGCCCCTTGGGGCAAGGATTTACTCTGGGAGGCACCAGCCATCCCCTTTAAGAGCCTTCTTTCCTCCCTTTGGAAGATCTTTTTACCATGTTAAAGTATACTATTTGTGAGAACATGCAGGATTTGCAGGTTGCTTTACCAGCATGAATCTCATTTTTCTGGCTTAAAATCTGAGACAGTGAAATTATTCCATAGGAAAGTGAATGTTATTTTGCAGAATTAGCCTCTTACATAAAAGTATGTGTTGAAGTGTCTTTAAAATTGCTATCGTGAGCAAAACTGTTTGGTTGCTATAATGCTTACTTTTCTGTATGTTTACACATTAAATTCTTACAGAACAAAAACAAACAAACCCAAACCTCTTTTCTTTATAAATTACCCAGTCTCAGGTATTTCTTTATAGCAGTATGAGAATGGACTAATACAGAAGATATATAAACAGCCAACAAGCCCGTGAAAAGATACTCAACGTCTTAGTCATTAGAGATATACAAATCAAAATCACTTGAGATATCCCTTCACAGTCATTAGAATAGCTATAATAATTGCTTTTTTAATGAAAATAATTGTTGGCGAGAATGTGGAGAATCTGGAACTCTCATGCATTGCTGGCAGGAATGCAAAATGGTGCAGCTGTTATGGATATCAGTTTGGTGCTTCTTCAAAAAGTTAAACATAGAATTACTGTATGAGCCAGCCATTTCACTCCTAGATATATCCAAAAGAATTGAAAACATATGTTCAGACAAAAACTTCATAGCAGCATTATTCATAACAGCCAGAAAGTGGAAACAATCAGATGCGCATTAACTGATGAATGGATAAACAAAATGTGCTATATCCATTCAGTGGTGTCAAAGGAAAATATCTTGGGCCCCCAATATCACTAAGGAAAATTCAAGCTGGGAACTGCTTAGGGCAAACCTGCCTCCTTTTCTATTCAAAGTCACTCCTTTGCTCACTGAGATAGATTCATATCTGATTTGCCTCCTTTGGAAAGGCTAATCAGAAACTCAAAAGAATGTAACCATTTGTGTATCACCTTTCTGTGACCTGGAAGCTCCCTCCCCACTTGAGTCTTGGTGCCTTTGCTTCAAGTTGTCCTCCCCTTCCAGACTGAACCAATGTACTTCTTATATATATTGATTGACGTCTCATGTCTCCCTAAACGTATAAAACCAAGCTTTGCCCTGACCACCTTGGGCAGATGTTGTCAGGACTTCCTGCGGCTGTGTCACGGGTGCATCCTCAACCCTGGCAAAATAAAAATAAACTTTCTTTTTTTTTTTTTTTGCTCTGCCGCCCAGGCTGGAGTGCAGTGGCACAATCTCAGCTCACTGCAAGCTCCGCTTCCCAGGTTCACGCCATTCTCCTGCCTCAGCCTCCCAAGTAGCTGGGACTACAGGCGCCCGCCACCACACCCAGCTAATTTTTTGTATTTTTAGTAGAGACGGGGTTTCACCGCGTTAGCCAGGATGGTCTCAATCTCCTGACTTCGTGATCCGCCCGCCTCGGCCTCCCAAAGTGCTGGGATTACAGCGTGAGCCATCGTGCCCGGCCGGCAAAGTAAACTTTCTAAATTAACTGAGACCTGTCTCAGATTTTCTAGGTTCACATTTTGGTAACCACGAAGGGGTTCTGAATGGAGATGCCCCTGACCTTTGACAAATCTCTTATCAGTGCCTGGTACCAGCATGAGCTAACTTTATGGATCAAACCAATACGACAATTTGCTGAGGTCTGAGAGCACCCCTCCAATGAATCCCTGATATCCCAAAATTTGGTCAGTCTGATACACAGACAATAAGGAGGTTTGTTTTGGGAAAGGACTGTTATCTTTGTTTAAAAGCTAAACTATAAACCAAGTTCCTTCCAAAGTTAGTTCATCCTATGCCCAGGAATGAACAAGGACAGCTTACAGGTTAAGAGCAGTATGGAATCAGTTAGGTCAAATCTTTTTCCTTTTTTTTTTTTTTTTTTTGAGACAGAGTCTTGCTCTGTTGCCCAGGCTGGAGTGCAGTGGTGCGATCTCGGCTCACTGCAAGCTCCACCTCCCAGGTTCACGCCATTCCCCTGCCTCAGCCTCCCAAGTAGCTGGGACTACAAGCGCCTGCCACCACGCCTGGCTAATTTTTTGTATTTTTAGTAGAGATGGGGTTTCACCATGTTAGCCAGGATGGTCTTGATCTCCTGACCTTGTGATCCACCTGCCTTGGCCTCCCAAAGTGCCGGGATTACAGGTGTGAGCCACCACGCCCGGCCAGTCAAATCTTTTCTGACAGTCTCAGTTATAATGCTGCAATGGCAGTTTCATAACTTTAAATCATGACTATCACAGTTTTCATAAATAATCTAGGTAAATAATTAAAACAATTAGGTAAATGTAATGGGATAAATACTTGTAGACAAACTGGTCATAATTTAGGATATAAAGTTATATTAAATTAAATAATAGATATCTCATTGAGTATTTTCCAATAAATATATATTGTAGAAAAACATTCTTGCTAAAGAAAGAAAAATGTGTCCTTTTAAAAAAAAAGTGAACAAGTTTTGTCTAATTCAAAGCTTATTTAAAGGTTATATATAAAACAAGGTAAAAGGAGCCAGGAATAAAAAAAGATGTAAAAAAAGTTATAAAAATAAAGAGGTTTTATTTTTAGGTAAAAAAGCTTAAAAAGAAATAATTTTATATAAGAAAGAATCTTCTGTGGTAAATTTAGTCCTAAAATAAAATAACTGGTTGTTTAAAAAGGAGGGAATTTCAGAACAAATCAGAAAGTCTGGCCATGTCATGAATAGTCAGTGTAAGTCACAATAAGAGGATTTATATATTTAAAAAAAAAAACAAAAACTTTTATATAATCAAGTTGTCATATTATTATTAAATTTTGGTTTGCTTAGGGAAAAAAACTGAGATAAAAAATGTTTTAATGTTATTGCATCCATTTATCTTCCTGTATGTGCTTTTAAAGTGCTTGTAACATTGAGTTACAGGGCTTTAACTCCTGGGTCTAAAAAGGACACCAAGTCCTGCTAAATCTTAAACACTGACAGCAATTAAAGCCTCATCTTCAGGCCCCATAGAAGATGCCAATTAAAACAAACTGCATTCCTGAGACACAGGGCAAGAAATTAAAGCCATTCAACTCCTCAAGGCCCGGGGACTATCGCAGAAGAGGTGGGCACATGAGATTGTGAGGGCCAATTTTGAAAGATAAAATAAGTTCAGTTTCTCTATAAATTAATTATTAATGTCAAAGGCACACTGATGCAAAACCAGTATATGGATCCCTATGTCAGATTAACAAGGTTTTCTTGAAGCATTAAAGAACTTCTTAATAAAGGTTATAAAAGGCTTATGGAAGTTATATTTTATAATCAAGATTAAATTTTATAGATTGTTTACAAAATTTTGAAAAACAAATGTAATTGGCTTCGGGCTGTTTTTCTTAGGGTTTCTTGTTTAGAAAATTAAGTCTCAACTCAAATAATGAAGGTTTTCACTTTTTTTGGAATGCTGGAATTATCACTTTGGTTAAATAAATGACTTTACAATGACCTGTAATCCTATTTTGTAATATCAAGTGTTTTAAAGCTTTTATATTTGACAAACTTTCCAAAATCAAATTATAAATTATATCTTTTTGGCCAGGCGCTGTGGTTCACGCCTGTAATCCCAGCACTTTGGGAGGCTGAGGCAGGCAGATCACGAGGTCAGATCGAGACCATCCTGGCTGACACGGTGAAACACTGTCTCTACTAAAAATACAAAAAAAAAAAAATTAGCTGGGCGTGGTGGTGGGTGCCTGTAGTCCCAGCTACTCAGGAGGCTGAGGCAGGAGAATGGAGTGAACCCAGGAGGTGGAGCTTGCAGTGAGCCGAGATGGCGTCACTGCACTCCAGCCTGGGTGACAGTGCGAGACTCTGTCTCAAAAAAAAAAAAAAATTATGTCTTTTTCTAACCTAATTAGTCCTTTAAGACATTAGGTTCCTTAAGTCCAAAAATGACATAACTTGGCTTATTTTGGTGTAAAAATTATACAGGAAGCATTGTCAAATATGAAATGGTGTTTGGTTTTCTTTGGGCTATATTTGTATACATAGCTAACTTTGTTCCAAATGTATAGGAAACTCCTGTAATTCTGATATAACTTAGTGTACATTATCAGTAATAATCATAATTGTTATGTTAAAATTATCCTGTGCCACAGAGGTAACAAATTTCCTTGTCAATTGTGTCTTTTAACTATGGCTACCTTAAAACTTTTTTTCATCCACAGACAATTGTCTTGTTTTGCCTTGTTTTAAATGCTCTTTAAAAGGTGGATTTATAGGCCAGGTGTGGTGGTTCACGCCTGTAATCCCAGCACTTTGGGAGGCCAAGGTGGGCGGATCACAAGGTCAGGAGATTGAGACCATCCTGGCTAACAAGGTGAAACCCCATCTCTACTAAAAATACAAAAAATTAGCCGGGCGTGGTGGCAGGCGCCTGTAGTCCCAGCTACTCAGGAGGCTGAGGAAGGAGAATGGCGTGAACCCGGGAGGCGGAGCTTGTAGTGAGCCGAGATTGTGCCACTGCACTCCAGCCTGGGTGACAGAGTAAGACTCTGTCTCAAAAAAAAAGGGGGGTGGATTTATAATTAGCTATCAGACTCTAACAGATGCACTTAAATGCAGGTTTTCTGATAACTTTGGAAATTGTGACATTGGAATAAAGGAACTTTCAGAACTCTCATGGAGAGCTGAAATGTTCATGACTATCAAGCAGAATAGGAGTTAACTGAATTAACTGAACCAATAGAAAACGGAAGTAATCTTTTTGACTTTTTGCTTAAAATGTTGCTGATACTTTGTTTTGTTTTTCAGAGTTAAGAAAACAATTCTTTTAAGCTATTTACAGCTTTTAATAATTGAGTAAAGTATACCCCTGTGAACAAAATTTGGAACCTATTTGTTTCCCTCTACCTGATTTCTCTAGAATTTGGAAACTATTTGTGACTATTCTTAATTTATAGCAATATAGTTATTTGCATAAGTGCAGTAAGAATCTGTTTTCTTTTGCAATAGGACACAATTGGAGGAATTGGTTATTTTACCAAGGCTTTGACTGGAATGATGTGCTTTTCTTTAAGGAAGCAAACTTGACTTATGGAGCCAATAAAGCCCTTGGGAAACTGGCCTCATATTTTGTGTACACAGTCCCTGTACAGGGTTTCTGACCTGTGCTTAGTAAAGAATGCCATTTTCTGACAGGCACAGAAGCCCCAGGTTTATCTTGGATCCTCAAGAGGAGAGGAAATTCACACAACTCATAGATATTTGACGGCACAAATCCATGGTTGGGCTCGGCTTTAAAAAAGTCTTATCTGGGCTGGGTGCGGTGGCTCATGCCTGTAATCCCAGCACCTTGGGAGGCCGAGATGGGCAGACCACGAGGTCAGGAGATTGAGACCATCCTGGCTAACACGGTAAAACCCCATCTCTACTAAAAGAATTAAAATAAAAATAAATAAATTAAAAATAAATAAATAAATAAATAAATAAACCTTATCTGAGATTCCTCCTATAGAACAAAGTTCTATCAAAGTCAATTTAAAAGCCTATGTAAAAAATAATTTTTCTTCTACACTGTATACGAATATTAGGCCAAGTATAATAAAGCATACCAGTCATACCGTGATTTGTCTTTAGTAAAAATGGGAAACTGGAGAGAGAAAAATTATGTTTCAGAACTACAGTAGACCTGTTGTTAGATCCTAGTCTTGCCTAATATTTTTTTCAATTTTTGTGTTTTTCTATAGTTTGGACTGAATTCTAATTTTTCTTGACTACAAGTCTTCAAAATAATTTTTTCAATTTTTTTCCTTCCTTTTTACCCCCTTTTGTCTTTATTTGGAGTCACTGAAAACTAAGCTGTGCTTTCTTAAAACCCTGCAAACTGAAGCCAGACAACTTAAACTTCAGGAGAAAATAACTACAACCTATTTACATACATAAGCCACTTTCATACCTGCCTACTAATATATGGACTTCAGAGTAATGTGGCCTATATTGATTTTTCCAGGACTGTTCTTTTTTTAATTTTTTATTTTTTCTCCCTTCCTCCCCTCTATTTTCTCTTCACAAGACATGAGGTTTCACAACCTGCTAAAAATGAGCTTTTGGGACCTCCCCATTGTATTAGTCCATTTTTACACTGCTGATAAAGACATACCCAAGACTGGGCAATTTACAAAAGAATTTACAATTTACAAAAGAAAGAGGTTTAATTGGACTTACAGTTCCACATGGCTGGGGAGGCCTCAGAATCATGGCAGAGTTCAAAAGGCACTTCTTTTTTTTTTTTTCTTTTATTATTATTATACTTTAAGTTTTAGGGTACATGTGCACAACGTGCAGGTTTGTCACATATGTATACATGTGCCATGTTGGTGTGCTGCACCCATTAACTCGTCATTTAGCATTAGGTATATCTCCTAATGCTATCCCTCCCCCATCCCCCCACCCCACAACAGTCCCTGGTGTGTGATGTTCCCCTTCCTGTGTCCATGTGTTCTCATTGTTCAATTCCCACCTTTGAGTGAGAACATGCGGTGTTTGGTTTTTTGTCCTTGTGATAGTTTGCTGAGAATGATGGTTTCCAGTTTCATCCATGTCCCTGCAAAGGACCTGAACTCATCATTTTTTATGGCTGCATAGTATTCCATGGTATATATGTGCCACATTTTCTTAATCCAGTCTATCGCTGTTGGACATTTAGGTTGGTTCCAAGCCTTTGCTATTGTGAATAATGCAAAAGGCACTTCTTACATGGCAGCAGCAAGAGAAAATGAGGAGAAAGCAAAAGTGGAAACTCCTGATAAGCCCATCAGATCTTGTGAGACTTATTCACTATCATGAGAATAGCATGGGAAAGACCAGCAGCGCCCATGATTCAATGACTTCCCCCTGGGTCCCTTCCACAACATGCGGGAATTCTGGAAGATGCAATTCAAGTTGAGATTTGAATGGGAACACAGCCAAACCATATCATTCTGCCCCTGGCCCCTCCAGATCTCATGTCCTCACATTTTAAAACCAATCATCCCTTCCCAACACTTCCCTAAAGTCTTAACTCATTTCAGCATTAACCCAAAAGTCCACATTACAAAGTCTCATGTGAGACAAGGCAAGTCCCTTCCACCTATGAGCCTGTAAAATAAAAAAGAAGCTAGTTACTTCCTAGATACAATAGGGTTACAGGTATTGGGTAAATACAGCCATTCCAAATGGGAGAAATTTGCCAAAACCAAGGGGTTATAGGATCCATGCAGGTCCAAAATCCAGCAGGGCAGTCAAATTTTAAAACTCTAAAATGATCTCCTTTGACTCCAGGTCATGCTGATGCAAGAGGTGGGTTCTCATGGTTTTGGGCAGCTCCACCCCTGTGGCTTTGCAGGGTACAGCCTCCATCCTGGCTGCTTTCACGGGCTGATGTTGAGTGTCTGCAGCTTTTCCAGGCACCAGGTGCAAGCTGTCAGTGGATTTACCATTCTGGGGTCTGGAGGACAGTGGCCCTCTTCTCACAGCTCCACTAGGCAGTGCCCCAGTAGGGACTCTGTGTGGGAGCTCCCACCCCACATTTCCCTTCTGCACTGCCCTAGCAGAGGTTCTCCATAAAGGCCCCACCCCTGCAGAAAACTTTTGCCTGGGCATCCAGGTGTTTCCATACATCTGAAATCTAGGCAGAGGTTCCCAAACCTCAGTTCTTGACTTCTGTGCACCCACAGGCTCAACACCACGTGGAAGCTGTCAAGGCTTGGGACCTCCACCCTCTGAAGCCACACCCTGAGCTGTGCGTTGGCCCCTTTCAGCCACAGCTGGAGCAGCTGGGACACAGGGCACCAAGTCCCTAAGCTACACACAGCATGGGGACCCTGTGCCCGGCCAACAAAACCACTTTTTCCTCCTGGGCCTCTGGGCCTTTGATGGGAGGGGCTGCCATGAAGGTCTCTGACATGGTCTGGAGACATTTTCACCATAGTCTTGAGGATTAACAGTAGGCTCCTTGCTACTTGCAAATTTCTGCAACTGGCTTGAATTTCTCCCCAGAAAATGGGTTTTTCTTTTCTATTGCATAGTCAGGATAGACTCTCTACCAAAAAATTTTTTTTTCAATCAGCCAAGTGTGGTGGTGTGTGCCTGTAGTCCCAACTATAATACTAGGGAGGATGAGATGGGAGGATTGCTTGAGTCCAGGAGTTCAAGACTGCAGTGAGCTATGATTGAGCCCCTGCACTAAAGCCTGGGCAACACAGCAAGACACTATCTCTAAAAATAATAATAATAAAATAAATGAATGGCAAGAGAGATCAAGTATAAATGAATGACAAATGGGCAGATATAGTGGAGATTTAAAATATCAACATATGCTATGAAGAAAGACAAGTATGAAATAGTAGGTTTGGAGAGTGTGCAGCCCCACATTATCAAGGCCACTCATTTTATGTTTCCGTCTGGATCCCTGCACTGGCAGGGGCCAAGAGCAGTTAGTTTGGTAGTCCTGGGATGCAGAATTCAGAATGACACAGGCTTTCTAGGTCCCATGCAACTGCACGAGGTGAACGGCAAGCGGCTGAGTAATACTTGGGTTCAAATTACCAAGCAAGGGGGCAACTAAAATTCAGAAATACTGTACTTCTATTCTTACTTTATTATTAATGAATTGCTTTCCCCTTTTAACTTCTCAGGAATTCCACTTCTTCAGGGAATAAATATTTATTAGATATTTATCAGTTTGCAGAAATCCCGCAACGCAGAAAAACAAGTCAACATCTGTTACTTCTATTTGCAGAAAACCGGTAAATTCAAACAGTGTGCTAATGTTTCCACTCGGGAGGAGTGTAACTGCACAAAGGATCAGAAGTTTTCACATGCTGTTGCTTTCTCGGATTGCAGGGAAAAAGTAAGATCATTTCTAATTACCTGAATACAGGATACTTTCTTATTAACAAGATTTTGAAATGTGCCTTTAGGTTAAACATGAAAACTAAGACATAGAAATAATGTCTTATTATGATGCAGAGCTAAATATGACACCGAGCTAGAAAGATCCAGATTTAAATGTACCTTGCAAGTTAATGAACCTCATCGGTAAAATAAAACAATAATACCTGCACTACCTTGTCCATTCCACAGCATTTGTATAAAGACGCACACACACCCACACCCACACACACCCCTGTGTATACGAAAGCAACTTGTAGTCTGTAAAACATATACCAGGTTATGGTAAATATTGATTCATTTAAAATAACTTTGAGTATCTAGTATCAGGTTCTTGGAATATAGAAGGCAAAGTCATTGTAATCAAGCTCAGCCTGCTGACAGTCACAAATGAAAGACGGTGTAATATGTTGGTTAAGAGAAGGCTTCTGTGTCAAATAATGTTTTATTCTGTTAGTATCAAAATTTGCATTAGAAGAGTCAAATACGCAGTTGGGGCCGGGTGTGGTGGCTCACACCTGTAATCCCAGCACTTTGGGAGGCCAACGCCGGTGGATCACCTGAGGTCAGGAGTTCGAAACCAGTCTGACCAATATGGTGAAACCCAATCTCTACTAAAAATACAAAAATCAGCCGGGCATGGTGGCTTGCACCTGTAGTCCCAGCTACTCAGGAGGCTGAGACAGCATTGCTTAAACCTGGGAGGCAGAGGTTGCAGTAAGCAGAGATCGCACCACTGCACTCCAGCCTGGATGACAGAGCAAGATTCCATCTCAAAAAAAAGAAAAAAACAAATATGCAGTTGGTATATCTTTCAAACAGATCAATTTCAAAGTCCTTGTGACACTGTATATTGAGAAACTGTTATTACACAGACTATACATATGTAAGACATCTAGAGGCCGGGCTCGGTGGCTCACGCCTGTAATTCCAGCACTTTGGGAGGCCGAGGCGGGCGGATCATGAGGTCAGGAGATTGAGACCATCCTGGCTAACACGGTGAAACCCTGTCTCTACTAAAAATACAAAAAAATTAGCCGGGCGTGGTGGTGGGCGCCTGTAGTCCCAGCTACTGGGGAGGCTAAGGCAGGAGAATGGCTTGAACCTGGGAGGTGGAGCTTGCAGTGAGCTGAGATAGTCACTGCACTCTAGCCTGGGCGACAGAGCAAGACTCTATCTCAAAAAACAAAACAAAACAAACAAACAAAAAAAGACATCTAGAGACTATATATGATATTATATATGTATATACACAATATGTTGGTGTAGAGTCAGCATTCTGTAAATTATTATTATTTTATTTTCGTTTTTACTTTTTTTGAGACCAAGTCTCGCTCTGTCGCCCAGGTCGGAGTGTAATGGCATCATCTCAGCTCACCGCAACCTCCGCCTCCTGGATTTAAGTGATTCTCCTGCCTCAGCCTCTCAAGTAGCTGGGACTATAGGTGCCCACCACTATGCCCAGCTAATTTTTGTATTTTCAGTAGAGATGGGGTTTCACCATGTTGGCCATACTGGTCTCAAACTCCTGACCTCAAGTGATCCACCTGCCTCCACCTCCCAAAGTGCTGGGATTTATAAGCGTGAGCCATTGTGTCTAGCCAGCATTCTGTAAATTATGAGGGCTGTTTTTATATACCCCCTTGCTGAACCAAAATAATGTTTCATGAGCACTTACTATCTACTAAATGCTACTCTAAGCCTTCTCCGTGATTTATCTCATTTAATTCGAGCCACAGAGAAGTCAGGCAATTTGTCAAAGATCGCATTATTAACATGCATTGGGGCTGGCTTTGAGTTCTGACGCCAGAGCCCAAGTTTACAGATTGTGCCCGCAAGACTGACTGGCTGAAAGAGTGGCAAAAGGAGGGTGAGCAATCTATGCACAGCCTCCTGGGATATGATTTAGCCAAAAAAAGTTTGAGTGACATCATAGTAAATTCCTGTGAAAAGGGCCTATAGAAGTGATGAGTTTTGTTACCACAATGTATATACTGCCTTTGGAGTTCACATTGATTCTGCTCTAAGACATTTTCATGACTGAAAAGGCAGAAACCCCTCAGGAGCACATGTCATTGAACAGCCAAACTATTGGCAATATATCTTTTCGTTTTTTACCAGGAAATGAAGTGACTATTGACTTTCCCAAGTTTACATTCATTCTTGGAATTTGTATTTTAGGTTCCTCGCTTTAAGTTTCCAATTACACAATATCCAGTTTCTTTGGAAATTATCAACGAGGATGGACGTGTCCCATTGCAATCTCCATATCTGGTTACTGTGACTGAAGTGAACATGAGGCACAACTGGAAACTGAGTAGGGTTTGCTTTCATCTGTAATTATTTTATCTGATAAGTAATATTGTTACTGGTTTACAAAGATCAATGGTTTTCAAAGCCTGTTCACACAAAAGAGAGCCAGGAGTTCTTGCAAATGGATTTGGATCAGTTGGCATATTGCTGTTTACTTCTATTGTTTCCTACTTATTTCATCATCACTCCCAGTGGCCTGGATTCTAGGGTAAAAGCATTTTTGAATAATTTACACTGCAAAAAAATTGAAGGTCATTTTGTGGATCAATAACAACAATGACTGACTGAATTTGTGCTGCATGGTGGTCTGGCATCTCCTTTCTCTGCCCATTCAGTGTGACAGAGGAGGTTGTAAAAGGTGGGGCCAGATAATCTTTAGGATCTGTCTTCTAATTATACGAGTTTCTTAAAGGTTTCTTAAAGGTTTTATGGTAAAATAATTGAAAAGATGCAGAAATAGTTTAAATAAGATGTTTACCCCTATTCACTTTACCTCAGATATGTAACTTTTTGTTGCACATTTTGTGTTCACGTATGAATACTCTAAGGAGATATGTAGGTAGATAGAAATAATTAACTAAACAGAAATTTTGGTCAGCCATTAATATGTTACTAAATATCCAGGCACTTGGTATTCAGTGAGTCTTACTCTGGCCAACATATATGCATTTTTGAAATGAAAAATCCAGCAAAATAAAGCTACTAAATATTTTGCATTAACTGACATCCCCATTTTCTGTGGTATGCTGGAAACTGTTCTTACCAGTTTTAGAGTCCTGATCATTAAACATTTAAACATTTTACAAGCTAGATGTTAAACCATTTGTAGCTTGAAATTAGTCAGGGTGAGAGTATTTACACTATGGAAATTGGAAATTACAATCACAGCTGTTTCTTTTCCTTTAGATTCTGTGTACCTTTATACCACTGCAACGTCTAACCCCTACACTAGCTATCTAGTTTTAGAAAGGATGACAAGAAAGGCAGGAAAATAGTCAAGTAATCTCATTGTAAAACTTTACTGCCACCTTATTATAAATCGTTTACCTATCACTAAGGAGGTCCTGAGATGACCTTACTGCCAAAAACACGAAGCACGTGCAGGTCAGGACTGATCCTGAGCATGGGGCTGGAAGGAAAAGGTCAGCATGAAGCTGATCAGAAGTCTTGAACTTCTTGAGGATGCCCTTGAAGGCAATGTGAGATATTGGGCCTAACTCCCCTAAATACATCGTCTACAAAGTCAAGCAGAACTAAAAGTATGGGATAACTTGGTCATGTTATGGAGTGAAATCTTTCATTGTACCTTAATGTGCATGACAAATTTTATATTAGTAATTGCAAATGAAATAGTAATAGTAAATTAAAAGTAATGGCAAAAACAGCAATTACTTTTGCACCAACCTAATACAAAATGAGAAAAATAAGTGTGCTTAAAATATGTTTTATGTATTTTTAGAACACACTGTGCCAGAAAATATTAAAAGAATGAAACAATTAGTAGAACCAATTCTTGGTGCTGCAGTGTATAATCCTTCAGGTCTCAACTTAAGCATAAAGGTAATGATGGCATTGTTGTTTTTACTGTGTTGAGTTTAGATAAAACATGTATGTCTAAACTAAGATTGGTTTTAATTCTAAAGTATAGGTAACCAGGAATGGTGGGAATAACATCTTTAAAGTATATACCTTTAAAGTATATGAAGAGGGTTTATTTTTTTCTCCATTTCCCTTGGTGTTATTATTTCCAAAGTTTTGAGCAGATAGGCAAGCCATATTATCTAGCAAAGTGGAGAAGAAAGAGTGTTTCCGAAAGTGAAAGGGAAGAAATGGGCTCAGTATTATTCACCTGGATATGGACGAGCACATCTTCTGGTTCCAGCTGCCCATAAAAATACATGAAGTTGGTATAATACAGATAATTGTGAAAACCAATCAGAATTAGGGAACATCTTGAAGCCACAAATACGAGGATTAGCCCAAAGTATTTATCAAGGCCAGGTTTAGTTTTTAGTTTTTGTCTCCTCATTCTAAAAAAAAAAAAAAAAAAAAAAAAAAAAGTATCAGCTATTGAATCCCTCCACTTCAATCCATCTTTTTATTTTGATGCATGATGTGTATGTCCGAGAGCCTTAGGAAGAGGATGGGAATCTTTTCATGCAGCATCTATAGGGACAGTGGCCCCAGGGTATATTTTTATTAATACTTAAAGGAATGTACATGTTGATGCTGCTAACAACTGGGTGTGCTTTTTTCCACAGGGCTCTGAACTTTTCCACTTTAGAGTGACCGTCATTTCAGGAGTAACTTTTTGTAACTTAATTGAAGAATTTCAGGTAAAATGGATGCACTTGGCATCAGAGGGGTGATGGCTGGGGAAAAAACATGACAAAACCAATTCAAGAGACACCGAAGAGAAAAAATTGGCAGAATTTGTGTGATGGACAAGGCTTAAAGACAGGGGATCCTGAAGGGTAGCATTGACCCTGTCAGTAGTGACAAAGCCAGGGTGCATCATGGGTGCCAGGACTGATTGATGCTGCCAGAATTTTAATAATACATGTAATAATACGTGGCTGTCTTTGTTTTTGTTCCTTCTCCACCTTCCTTGTTGAGCCCAGTTTTCTGACTTTTAATGCTCTTCCTCTCACCTCTACTTCTCCAAAGAACATATTTCTGTAACTTTTTAGTTTCTAGTCTGATTATCCTCCTTTTGGCTGTTTGAACTGTAATCATTGTCTTAAATATTTCAAAGGCTTTCAAGATCCAAAGGAATTGAAAACCAGAATCAGTCTTTCCCAAATCATCCCATGAAAGCAACAACTCATTTTTGCTTATTCATATAATGACATGTGCTGCCTGTGAGGCATGGGAAGAAATAAGGATTTGATAAAAATCAATTAATGAGTCATTGTCAAATGCTGATGTTACATTAACATTCTGTCTCTCTCTCTCTCTCTCTCTCTTTCTCTCTCTCTCTCTCTCTCTCTCCTGTTCCGGCCCAGCTCTAAGGCCAGCTCCAATAATGGCTCTGCACTACTACAGTGGTGGGTGGCCATTGCAGCAGTGCAAACCTCTAAAACCCTGAGAGAAAAATTCAACCCACTAGATAAAGAAACTAGGAAAAGAAGCATCTGTCACATGAGGAGTGTGAAGGAAAATCCTTGTTATTTTTTTCTCTCTTTTCTCATCTCTTTGGCCCAAGAGCAGCCCTGGTTGTGGGGAACAGCACAATAGCACAGAGGGCTAAAATTCTCATAGAAGCTCCACTTTCTTTCCAGAGAACAAGGGAAAGGACCTCTAAGAGTGGAAAGCATGGGGGGACATCTCTATGAGAAGAGGGCTGGAGAAAGGGAGTCCTGATTCTTTATGTAAACTAGCACCAGGAAGAAGCTGCATATGACCAGGGCACACCTGAAGAAAACAGCAAAGCCTTTGAAATGAAACTACAAAGTAAACATCCTCTAGTTTCAGAGCAGCTCCTGAGTGGCACAGGTACCAACCAGGAAGACACAAATAGCATAGCAACAGCTTGGAAAACTGAACTGACATTGAAACCACCACCCACACAGAAGGTGAGGCATAACTTGTGACCTGAACTCAACCAGTGTGATTGACTGCTAAAAACAAACAAATAAATAATCAGCATTTTCCAGATGACTTTTAAACAAGAACCAGAATCTCCCAACATAACATCAAAAATGTCCAGGATGCAATCCGATATTATTCACCATATTTACCAGGATACAATCTGATATTACTCACCATTATTCACCAGGATACAATCTGATATTATTCACCATATCAACAACCAAGACAATATAATCAATTCTGAAGAGAAAAGACATCAACAAAGGACCACAAATGCAATTATCAAATATTCTAAACTAGCTATTATAACCATGCTCCATGCAGTACAGGTAAACACTTTTGAAATAAGTAGAAAATGATCAATTATAAGCAGAGATCTAGAAGCTACTTAAAAAGGACAAAATGGAAATTTTAGAACTAAAAACTATAATATTTAAATTTAAAAACTACCAAAAGGACTCAATTGCTGAATGGATATGGAACAGGAAAAAAATCAGTGAACTTGAAAGCAAGTCAGTGGAAACCCAACCTGAAGAAAAAGTATTTTAAGAAGAAGAAGATCTTGCCTCAGGGATCTGTGTGACAGTATCAGAAGGTCTAACATTTATGTTATCAGTGTCCATGAAGGAGAGGAGAAAAAGACTGGTATGGGGAAAAAAATCCCAGCACTTTGGGAGGCCAAGGTGGGTGGATCGCTTGAGCTCAGGAATTTAAGACCAACTGAGCAACATGGCAAGGCCCTGTCTCTACAAATACAAAAAAATTAGCCAGGCATGGAGGCACACACCTGTAGTTCCAGCTACTCTGGAGGCCAAGGTGGGAGGGTTGCTTCAGCCTGGGAGGTCAAGGCTAAGGTGAGCTGAGATCATGCCACTGCACTCCAGTCTGGGTGACAGAATGAGACCCTGTCTCAAAAAAAATAAAAAATAAAAATAAAAAGAAGAAGAAGAAGAAGAAAGGAAAGAAATAAAGACGGAAAAGCCTCAAGTTTGGTGAAGACGTAAGTTTACATATTCAAGAAGCTTAATGAGCCCTAAACAAGATAAAGATAGAGAAAACCATGCCTGAACACATCATAATCAAACTACCAAAAATCAAGATCATAAAATATTAAAAGTGGTCAGAGAAAAACAACACTGTATATACAAGGGTACAGTTTGAATGACTGCTGATTTCTCAACAGAAACCACAGAGGCAAAAGAAAGTTATACAACATCTTTAAAGTGTTAGGGGTGAGGGTTGAGTGGGGAGGAAGGATTGTCAATCCAGAATTCTCTATCTACTGAAAATATCTTTCAGGAATAAAAAATCAAGACTTTCTCAAATGAGAGAAAACTAAGAGAATCCATTGTCAGGAGAACTTCTCTTTTGAAAATGCTTAAAGAAGTTATTCAAACAGAAGAAAAGTGATAACAGCAGGAACCTTGAAGCTTCAGGAATGGAGGAAGAACAAAAATGGATAAAAGATAGGTGTGACTGCACCATTAATGAAGGAAAAGAATTGTTAAGAAAATATAGAGAAAGTGTATAAAGCTTCTTGGGACTGTCGGAACCTGCTTTTGAAAGTACCCTGAAATAGGCTGGGCATGGTGGCTCATGCCTGTAATCCCAGCACTTTGGGAGGCCGACATGGGTAGATCACTTGAGGTCAGGAGTTCGAGACCAGCCTGGCCAACATGGTGAAACATCATCTCTACTAAAAATACAAAAATCAGCCAGGTGTGGTAGTGCATGCCTGTAATCCTAGTTACTCAGGAGGCTGAGGCAAGAGAATTGCTTGAACCCAGGAGGCAGAGATTGCAGTGAGCCAAGATCGCACCACTGCACTTCATCCAGCCTGGGCGACAGAGTGAGACTCTGTCTCAAAAAAAAAGGAAAAAAAAGAAAGTACCCTGAAATAGCCAGACCTGGTGACACATGACTGTAACCCCAGCTATTTGGGAGGCCGAGGGAGGATCCTCTGAGGCCAGGGGTTTGAGGCCTCAGTCCAGTATTAACATGCCAGTGAATAACCACTGCACTCCAGCCTGGTAACATAGTGAAGCTCCGTCAAGAAAAGAAAGGGGAGGAGAAAGGAGAATCCTGAAACAATGAAACACAACCCATAAGCTTGGATTTTCTTTCACCCAAAATACATTATGGGGATAACTGAAGAAAAAAAAAAGGAGTAAGATCTGTAATTACAGAATAGTATTGTCTTAATGTTAATTTCTTGACTTTGATCATTGCACTGTGGTTATTTAAGTGAATTTTTGTGCTTAAAAACACAAATTAAAGTATTTTAGGAGTAAATAGACATTGTATCTAAAACAGACTCATAATTCTGAGGTCTAACGTTTTTTAGAAATGGTGTGGAATATTTGGATGGTTGAAGAAGATTAGAAGGGAAACATTTGAAGAAAAAGTGTTTTTCAGAACTTTAGAGGTAGCAATTTAGGTGGAGAATACAGAATTCAGAGGTGATAGACGTTTCTAATCTTAGAAATATAATAAATGGCTTAAATAAGCAAGTGAAAATTTTTTTTTTTGAGATGGAGTCACGCTCTGTTGCCCAGGCTGGAGTGCCATGGCACGATCTCGGCTCACTGCAAGTTCCGCCTCCCGGGTACATGCCATTCTCCTGCCTCAGCCTCCCGAGTAGCGGGGACTACAGGCACCCGCCACCATGCCTGGCTAAATTTTTTGTATTTTAGGTAGAGATGGGGTTTCACCATGTTAGCCAGGATGGTCTCAATCTCCTGACCTCGTGATCTGCCCGCCTTGGCCTCCCAAAGTGCTGGGATTACAGGCATGAGCCACCGTGCCCAGCCACAAGTGAAATTTTTACATCATCTGGTGGAGTGACTGAAATTTCATTAGGCAGAAATGAACAAGGAAGGCATTCTGGATGGAGAGACCAGGTACAGATATGGGAAAGTGATGCAGGACTTTTCTTGGCCACTTTGCCAACCGGGGACCTCCACAGCTGGTGACATCCTCCACCTGGGCCTTGCTCAGCCCTGAGCCTGCCACTGGAGGCACCCTGCCCACTTGTCCCAACTATGTTGTAGTGTGTACCCATGTTCCTGTCCTGCATCCAAGTATAATGAGGAAACACTAACAATTGAAGAGTGAGGAGGGCAAAGAATAATTTTACTGAGTGATGGAACAGCTCTCAGCAGACAGGGGACGTAGGGTGTGGTCCCTCACCCCTGCAGTCAGGTGGTTTCTTTGCCAGTGTGGCTGAGTGGGGCCTTTATGCACTCAGAATAGGGGAGAGTGTGCTGACTGGCTTATGAGTAAGCAAAGAAAGGCTAAAGCAAAGGTACCACTCAAAGGTGGGCACAGCAGTGTAGAAAACCAATTAGGAAGGGTAGGTATATGTAAAACAGTTGAAGGGTGGGATCAGTCAGAGGAAAGCACGCCAAACAGGAAGACAGGTTCTGAATTCGGTATGTGGATTTACCTGGGACTGCCTTCAGCTTGAAGGTCAGGTTTCACCGGCGACCCACCCCTATCTGCCTAGGCATTTGACTGCCTCCTGTCACAATCAAAAGCATAAAGTTTGCTTTTTGAATAGCTCAAATCCATTTGGCTGGAATATAAGGTTATTTAGAAGAAAGCCAGGTAGGTTAGGGTCCAATTGTGGAAGGCTTTGAATGTCAGAGTGAAAGCTTTAGAACACTCCTGTCAACATTCCTGTCAACATTCCTGTCAACAATGAAAAGCTATTAAACATTTTTGGAAAAAGGTGTTTATACACAGACTGGTGTTTTATACAAAGATAAATCTGGCAATGTTAGGATGTCAACACGGACTGGTGGGCTGGGAAGGAGGCTACTAGAGTAGCCTATTTATGAAAAGTGGCACAATAATCACAGTAGCAGTACTGAAAGAATGGAAAGAATGAATGTGAGGGGAATTTTAGAGAATGTATAGCATGGAGGGACTGTTTCTAAGAAATCAGCTACCTCCTTGGGTCACTGGGAGGATGGTGGTACCTTTAACTTGAGCTAGACCTTAAAGCAGCCTGTCATCCTTTTTCTTGTCCTTTGCACTTTCCCACATTCCCTACTGTCCTAGTTCCATTCATCAGCACGTTCTTCTCCCACAAAAGACGATCTGGCTTCCTGCTTCACAAAGGAAACATAAGCCTGGGCTTGAACCCCCTACTCTCTTTATGCCCCACTTCTATATTTAACATACAATGACCCCACCCTTGCCTCACATCTCAGAGAAAAAGACATCACTGTCCCTCTCTGTCAATAATCCTATCTGTCCTCCAGAAATTTACTTGCTTCTGTTAATTAGCTATTCATGCAGAGGAAACATTTTGAATACATAAAAAGTTACCTATACTGGCAGCACCTACAAAGAGGATTTTCTAAAGAGGTGGTAACTTGAAAGAGCACAGACATATGCCTCTACCTGGAATGTTCCTTTATCTCCTTCTCTTCTGTGAACCTACTTATTCGTCATGATCCAGCTCAGAAAGCGCATTCCCTGACTGCCCTAGGCAGGTAGGCATTCCCTCCTCCACATTCCCAGAGCTCTTTGCCCATTCCTCTGAGACTGAACAGAGAATGTTCTGCTGTATAAGCATTTTATCTGCCTCCTTCCACCATTAAAGACAGGGTAAAGGCATAGGATAATACATGGACTTCTTAGCCCCTATTTATTGTAGGCAAATTGTTACTTGTTCAACTGTCAAGAGACTGTTTCCAAGCTTTGTGGATGCTGAATGTCTTTGTAACTCTGGGCAGCGTTTTGCTCTCCGATTAATTGTGGGGAACATTAAATTTTCAGTGTTTTGCATTGCTAAATTCAGAAAGCTTAAAGACTTTGCTTTTTCTGTTGCAGATTTATGTTGATGAGGCACCATTGCCATTCCCAGGACACACGCTTATTGCCGTGGCAACAGCGGTAGTGCTAGGGGGATTAATTTTTATAGCATTTATGTTTCAACTGCAAGGCATCCATCCGTGGAGGACATTCCAAAGATGGATTAGAAGAAACCAAGAGAAGTTTTCAAGTATCTCTCTCAGTGAGCTGATTCATAGATCAAAGTCTGAAGAGTGAACACATGGTGATCATAATTTCTCTTTATTTTCTAGTTTTATCAGCCAATTCCTAGAACAATATATTTAAATGTTAAATATGCAAGCTACATAAAATCCTAAAGAATTGTCATTATAATTCAAATTGCTACTTGTCAATATATTCACCATTTCCTTTTCTTATTTTGAATACATAGAAAATGTCTTATGCCAGGGCTTATGTTGAAGATCTTCCTTGAGGTTTTTAGAAAAGTATAAAATGATAACCAACTCGACATGGAACAGGTGTTCTGTGTTGTTCAGCTCTTAGTGCCTGGAGCCCATTCTGTGGGGTCAGAACCCCTGAGCTCTGCTCCTTCCAGATAGAGTTTGAGTAGAGTGCAGTTATGCCAGGGTGAGATAGGAGTGAAGACAGCGGATCAGCAGCAGTGTTTTCAGAGCCTTGTGGGAATGAAAGAGGAAGCCATTCAAGTTTCTTTGGGCAACTTCAAAACCAGATTGTAGTACCTAAAGAGAGAAATGTGACCCCATCATTAGGGTGTTAGAAGAACGCGGTGTCTGAGCAGGGTATTGGTTTATAAACCTACATGCAGCATGGAGAATTCCAAAAGCTATATCTCTGTGTGCTCTCAAAGTAAATGTCCCCAGATAGTCAGAAGATGACCATAACATTCAGAGATCAGAGCCTCATGCTCCCTGGAAAAGCTCAGAAGGGGAGCACAGTTTTGACAACATAAGGAAAGGAAGGCATCCAATCCAGGTCTGAGATCTATCATTGAAATTCCTTAGAGAGGGCAGTGCGGCAGGTAGGCAAGAGAATCAGACTCCAGAGCCAGATCTCCTGGGTTTGCCATTTACTAGATAAGTAACCTTGGGAAGTTAATTTATTCGTGCATGAGTTGCTTCACCTGTAAAATGGGAAGACAGTAACACCTACCTAATGAAACAGGAAATTTTCCTTGACCCCTTAACAGGCCTCGTGACACGGATGCCTCGCTTATTCAGCCTGCAGCTCTCAACCCCTCATGAGAGGGGGAGCATGCAGGTGAGCGGGTGTAGGAGCCAGAGTGAGCACTTTTGGGTGGCAGCAGGAGCAAAACTCCACATAGGCCCCAAGACAGCATGTAGGGAGGAGTATCCACGATCCCCAAAGCCCCAGAGGGCATGTGTTACAGTGCTCTTTTAACTCTGCTGTCCATGGATGGCTTAGGTGGTAAACAGCTCAGTGGGCTCTCTGCCTTTTTGTTGGAGGCAGTTGCTCTTTGCCAGCGAGGGCAGAGGGTCAGTATGACAGCCTTTAGTGTCCACACCCCTGGTACACAAGCTCTTGTTTAGTTTCCAGGAAAAATCAGTTTGCATGAACAAATTGAAGGGTGGTGAATGTGGAGGATTTTATTGCTGATGGAAGTGGCTCTCGGCAGGAAGGGGAGTTGGAAGGGGACTGGAGCACAAAGGTGATCTTCCCCTGGAGTCTGGTCATCCCTGGCCAGACTCCTCTCTGAAGCAACACCGTCAAACTATGTCTGGAAATGGTGGGTTCTTGGTCTCGCTGACTTCAAGAATGAAACCATGGACCCTCGCCGTGAGTGTTACAGTTCTTAAAGATGGTGTGTCCACAGTTTTTTCATTCTGATGTTCAGACGTGTCCAGAATTTCTTCCTTCTGGTGGGTTCGTGGTCTCACTGGCTTCAGGAGTGAAGCTGCAGACCTTTGCAGTCAGTGTTACAGCTCTTAAAGGCAGCGTGTCTGGAGTTGTTTGTTTCTTCTATCTGGAGTTGTTCGTCCCTCCCGCTGGGTTAGGGGTCTCACTGGCTTCAGGAGTGAAGCTGTAGACCTTCACCGTGAGTGTTACAGTTCATAAAGGCAGTGTAGAACCCAAAGAGTGAGCAGCAGCAAGAGTTCTTGTGAACCCCAAAAGAACAAAGCTTCTACAGCATGGAAGGAGACCAGAGCAGCTTGCCGCTGCTGGCTTGGACACCCTGCTTTTATTTCCTTATCTCACCCCACCCACATCTTGCTGATTGGCCCATTTTACAGAGAGCTGATTGGTCCATTTTACAGAGAGCTGATTGGTCCGTTTTGACAGGGTGCTGATTGGTGCGTTTACAATCCCGGAGCTAGACACAGAGTGCTGATTGGTGTATTTACAATCCTCTAGCTAGACGTAAAAGTTCTCCAAGTCCCCACTAGATTAACTAGACACAGAGCACTGATTGGTGTGTTTACAAACCTTGAGCTAGACACAGGGTGCTGATTGGTGCGTTTACAAACCTTGAGCTAGACACAGAGTGCTGATTGGTGTATTTACAATCCTTTAGCTAGACATAAAGGTTCTCCAAGTCCCCACCAGATTAGCTAGATACAGAGTGCTGATTGGTGCATGCAGGAACCCCGAGCTAGACACAGAGTGCTGATTGGTGCATATACAATCCTGCTGCTAGACATAAAAGTTCTCCAAGTCCCCACCCAACTCAGGAGCCCAGCTGGCTTCGCCTAGTGGATCCCACGCCAGGGCCGCGGGCGGAGCTGCCCGCCAGTCCCGCACCGCTGGCCTGCACTCCTCAGCCCTTGGGCGGTCCATGGAACCGGGCGCCATGGAGCACAGGGTGGTGCCCCTCAGGGAGGCTCAGGCTGTGCCGGAGCCCACCATGGGGCGGGGGGGGGGGGGGGGGGGCGGGGCTTGGGCATGGCAGGATGCAGGTCCTGAGCCCTGCCCTGCCAGGAGGCGGCTGAGGCCCTGCGAGAATTCAAGCGCGGCGTGGGTGGGCTGGCAGTGCTGGAGGACCCGGCACCCCCTCCGCAGCTGCTGGCCCGGGTGCTAAGCCTCTCACTGTCCCAGGCCAGCCGCTCCGAGTGCGGGACCCGCTAAGCCCATGCCTACCTGGAACTCGCGCTGGCCGGTGAGCGCCTTGCACAGCCCCGGTTCCCGCCCAACCCCGGTTCCCACCCGCGCCTCTCCCTCCACACTTCCTCTCAAGCAGAGGGAGCCGGCTCCAGCCTTGGCCAGCCCAGAGAGGGGCTCCCACAGTGTAGCAGTGGGCTGAAGGGCTCCTCAAGCGTGGCCAGAGCGGATGCCAAGGCCGAGGAGGCGCTGAGAGCGAGTGAGGGCCACCAGCACGTTGTCACCTCTCAAAACCATCCCTCTGAAGTCAAGCTGCTTGTCTCTGACATCAGACCACAGTCTCCAACGTCCAGCTGCTTCTCCTCTTCTCCCCTTCTCTGCTCTCTGCCAGTACGGTAAGGGGTTTTTAATGGGTACAGGATTGGGGGTGTGGCAGGCCATGTGTGGTTTTGGAAAAGGCAATATTTGAGCGGGAAAACAAGAATCTCACTTTAGGCCATGGTTCCAAGCTTGAGGGTGGGGCTTCTCCAGGGACTCTGCCCTTTTCTGCTTAGAATTTCTCTGCCTCCTGTCCCTATCACTAACAGCGTTCTCAGGAGGATCAAATGAATGAATACGTGTAAAATGTTTAGAACAGGACCCATTTACAGTGAGTGTGTTAAGTGTTGGGTGTAATTGATGCTGCTGCCCCTGCTGATGTTTTTAGGTCGTAAGTAATAGATTTTTGTCTAATTAAAATAACAAGGGAGATGCACTGAACAAACACTACAGAATGTCAGATAAACAAAGCAAAGTCTAAACAATCAGTTTTTGTCATGGGCAGGAATGAGGACCATTCTGGGGACCTAGGAAACAAGTGTTTGTCAACTCCTCCGAGCTTCCCTTGGACCAGGGGTCTAGAGATAGAGTATAGCACAGTGGTTAAAAGTATAGGCTCCAGAATCTAAAGCCTGGGTTTTTTCTCTTAATAAACTTTTAAAAATGTTAGAATAGTTTAAGATTTACAGAAAAGTTGTGAAGACAGCGCAGAGAGTTTCTGTGTAAAACTCAGAAGACTTTGTACCGGGCTTGGGCCAGTTACAAACTGTGTGCTTGGGCCCACTCCCACCCTGTGGAGTGCTTTCTTGCTTTAATAAATATCTGCTTTCATTGCTTCCTTCCCGTATTTCATTTCTTTGTTACTTTGTGCGTTTTGTTCAATGCAATGTCTCACTCTGTTGCCCAGACTGGAGTGCAGGGGCATGATCACAGCTTACTGCAGCCTCAACTTCCTGGGCTCCAGGAATTCTTACAAACTTGGCCTGTAAAAATTTCCCCAGACTTTAGGCAATACAGTGAACACATTTCTATAAACTGCAATTCTACAATGTAGCTCTTTTCTATTCTGATGCCTAACACCTTTCAGTTTATTTTGATTTAGAATCTACCACTTGACAAACAGTGGGACACAGGAAGGATTTTGAGGTTTCGGCTGCAAGGGTAGCACATTAGGAAATGGCAAAGATTTCACTGTAGGAAGAATTCAGGTGATACTTGGTTGGCCAGGCTTATTACTCAGTTTTTATAGCAGTAACAACCCTCAGATCTCACTCTCAGTTGCTTATAACAATAAACATTTCTTGCCCACTGTTCAGCCGATCAGCTGTGGTGGCTCCATATGTCTCTCATTCTAGGACACAGGCCAAAGAGCAGGGGCCACTTGGGCAGCTGTACAACACATCTGCTTGTAGTTTATCACCCAAATCAAATCATGTGGCCAGCCAGGCTTGGTGGCAAACACCTGTAATCCCAAAACTTTGGGAGGCCAAGGCAGGAGGATCACTTGAGGCCAGGCATTCGAGACCAGCCTGGGCAACATAGTGAGACCTGCCCCCCACCACCACCACCAAAAAAATAAAAAAATAAACCACCAAAAAAAAAAAAAAAATAAGCCACACACACACAAAAAAAATTAGCCAGGCGTGGTGGTGTACACCCATAGTTCCAGCTAATCGGGAGGCTGGGGTGGGAGGATCACTGGATCCCAGGAAGTTGAGGCTGCAGTAAGCCGTGATCATGCCCCTGCACTCCAGCCTGGGCGACAGAATGAGTCATTGCTCGAACGAAATGCACAAAGTAACAAAGGAATGAAATACAGGAAGGAAGCAATGAAAGCAGATATTTATTAAAGCAAGAAAGTACTCCACAGGGTGGGAGTGGGCCCAAGCACACAGCTTAAGGGCCCAGTTACAAAGTTTTCTGGGTTTTAAGCCCTCCTTTGGAGATTCCTATCAGTTACCCCTGATCTGGATGAAGGATTTGGTCCGTGGCTAATTACAGGCTGGGGTGAATTAGAGCCCTAGGCAGATGAAGGCATGGCCCCTGCTCGGCCCGCGGCCAATCCAGGGCACTCTCCCTTTCCATCTGAGCTGTGGTGGAAGCCGGAGGGCTGTAGGGAGAGTGGCCTTTGATCCTTTGTTACTGGGCGTGGGGAGCTGGGGTTTTCTCTTTTGGTTTAGCTTTAGGAAGTTGGCATTAATTGTTCTTTGGTTCCCTGCCCCAGACACAGGTGCTCCCCTTTTGGTCCAGCTTTGGGAAATTATCGTGAATTGGCCTCAGAGTCCTGCCCCCAGACCTTGGTGTTTTCCCTTGATTCAGCTTTAGGAAGTCGGCATGAATTGGGCTTAAGTTCCCTGCCTCCAGACCCTATTCTCCTGCCTCAGCGGTAAGGAGACTTCTATGGCGATGTGCTTCCACCAGAACACAAAAACGGGAGCTGCTGGAGTCTCCTTAATGCCTGGTCTTGGCTGCCCCCGGAATGTCACCTCTGCCTCATTCTACTATCAAGGTGGTTGCAGGGACAGCCCAGGTTCAAAGGAAGGAGAAGTAGACTCCCCCTCTTTTGACTGGCAAGGGGACATTGCAAAAAATCCTGTCGTTTGGGGGGGATTGTTGTAGTCATCTTTGGAAACACAATCTGCAACTTTGATGTTCATCAAAGAAATCTGCTTGAGCTGTGAGCTCAACTGGTATTCGACTTAAGAAATCCACAAAATCGGTTCTGAACTGCATTTTCATCTCAGCGTTTGGCCACGGGCAATGAGAGCTTCATTCAGAAGAGTCACAAAATCGTTCTGACTAAGACCATTTTGTCTAGATCAGTAATTTGGGGATTTGCCTGTCTCAGTGCCATCAGAAGCAACCACCTAACCCAGAAATGCTAACATTCCTCTTCTTTCAGCAGTCACTGACTACCTACATCCCTCAGCTCCCTCCCCATCTCACATCACCCTCAGGGGCCTCTGAGCACAGCATCACCGAGGGGGCCACAGCAGCAGAACCTCCTACCCAGATCTCTGTAGGCACTGCCATCATGTGACTAAACTCCCCTCTCAACCACAACCTCCAGCTACAGGGCTCTCATCCAAGTCAAAAATCCAAAGACAGGCGTCTGGCTGGCTGCAGGAGTCCAGAGCCATGAGTGTCCCTAAATTAGTCAACCATGGCTGGGAGACAGAGCCATGCAATCCAGACCCAGCTCTTCTGCTCACTGGGGCCGTTCCCGGAGAAGGAGAAACCACGCTGGAGCGGGCACTCCCACGAGTTGTCGGGGAACAAGAACTCGGATCCTGGCGGGAGAGAGCGAACAGTACACCCGAGCGGCGGCTGTCACCCGCTTTGAAACACGTAAGTGCCCGGCCAACCAGCATCCCAGAAACGCCTGGGGAGCGGGGCGCGCGGACGAGGAGAGACCGCGCTGGGAGGGCGCGGAAGGGCGAGGGCGCTGCCGCCTCCACGCTGAGCTCACTGCGCGGGGCGGCCCCCGAGGCAGGGCGCGGGGCGGAGGCGCCCGAGTGGTCCGTCTCGGGAGGCGCAGACGCGGTTCCTCTCGAGGGCGCTCCCGCTGTGAGGAGCAAATCCTAGGGACCTTTGCGTCATGAGCACCCAACGGGGCCCGCCCCCTTAGGACCTGCACCTGCCTGAGGGGAAAACCCGCCCACCACCCACGGTCGCCCGCAGCGCTTGCCTGCCAGCCTTCTCATCTGCAAGCCGCCTCCTCCCTGCCAACCTCCTCCTCCCTGCCCAGCCTCTTTCTCTCTGCCAGCCTCCTCCTCCCCCATCGGCCGCCTCCTCTCCTGCCAGCCTCCTCCTCCCTGCCAACCTCCTCCTCTCCTGCCAGCCTCCTCCTCCCTGCCAACCTCCTCCTCTCCTGCCAGCCTCCTCCTCCCTGCAAGTCTCCTCCTTCCTGCCAGCCTCTTTCTCCCTGCCAACCTCCTCCTCTCCTGCCAGCCTCCTGCTCCCTGCAAGCCTCCTCCTTCCTGCCAGCCTCTTTCTCCCTACCAACCTCCTCCTCTCCTGTCAGCTTCCTCCTCCCTGCCAACCTTCTGTCCTGCCACCCCCCTCTTCCCTGCCAGTCTCCCCCTCTTCTGCCAGCCTCCTCCTCCCCTGCCAGCCTCTTCCTTCTCACCAGCCCCCTCCTCCCTTTTCATCTAAGATCATTTGACCTGTCATTCAAGGCCTAGTTGAAATGTCACCTCTGTAGAAAAGTTTCTCCCCAGTTCTCTCTGATAGTTAGTTCTTTCTCTCCTTTGAGTGGGGTAGCATGGTGCACATTTCTATATCAAGCTTCTTGGCCCGGTTTTGGTATTTACATGCTTATCTCTCCCCTGCAATAGGGACAGTGCTAACTTTCTGTCACATTTCTTTTTAATGCCTTCCTAAAAGAGTGACCAACACATGGGTGATATTCAACAAATGATTGAAAAAGAAAAAACAAGAAAAAGAAAAATGCTGTTTATAATCAGGTTCAGGGGAGACTATGAGAATATAAATAAGACATAAGAACATCTTGTTATAAGAGAAGTTCATATAAAATACATTTCAGGCACAGACTAGACACTCAATAAATATTGCCTGAAAATGAATACAAAGAAAGAACTCAAAATAAGAGGCTTTGGGGAATCATTATATATATATAATTATAAGGGAATTGGTTTTTTTGGTCTCTAACTTTCTAACTTTCTAAGAGTAATAACTGGAAAATTTAGAAAATAAAAGTATGAAAAAAATATAAATCATACCACTTAAAATTTAGGCATACTTCTTAATCTTTTATGGTGTGTGTGTGTGTGTGTGTGTGTGTGTGTGTCCATACACATTAAACATACGTAATATAGATACATTAACTGGGTCTAAATGGAAAGGAAAGTAACATGAAGAGCTTGCTGCCATATGACATTCGTAATTTATTATATGTTGGTCTTTTTTTTTCTTTTTAAAAGTCTTTCCCTCTTTCCTTTGCATTTGAATATAGGTTGTTTGTTTTGTTTTGTTTTGTTTTTTGAGACGGAGTCTCACTCTGTGGCCCAGGTTGGAGTGGAATGACACGATCTCGGCTCACTGCAACCTCCACCTCCCAGGTTCAAGGGATTCTCCCACCTCAGCCTCCCAAATAGCTGGGATTACAGGCACCCACCATCACGCCAAGCTAATTTTTGTATTTTTGTAGAGACAGGGTTTCACCATGTTGGTTAGGCTGGTCTTGAACTCCTGACCTCAGGTGATCTGCCCACCTTGGCCTCCCAAAGTGCTGGGATTACAGGTACGAGTCACCATGTCTGGCCATATGTGGGTGTTTTCTAATTTAAAAAAAAAAAAAAAAAGGCTGGGCATGGTGGCTCATGCCTGTAATCCCAGCACTTTGGGAGGCCGAGGTGGGCGGATCACGAGGTCAGGAGATCGAGACCATCCTGGCTAACATGGTCAAACCCTGTCTCTGCTAAAAATACAAAAAATTAGCCAGGCGTGGTGGCGGGTGCCTGTAGTCCCAGCTACTCAGGAGGCTGAAGCAGGAAAATGGCATGAGCCTGGGAGGCGGAGCTTGCAGTGAGCCAAGATCGCGCCACTGCACTCCAGCCTGGGTGACACAGTGAGACTCGGTCTCAGAAAAAAAAAAAATTAAAAAAAAAGCAAAAATCAAAAGAAAACCCTCCTGGTTTTGTTCAATGTGAATTTTCTTAAAGATGCTTGCAATTACTGAACATGTTAGCTGGCAATAATGGCCTTTATGTTGATTTGTTTAGTTAAAATAATCTTTGCCCAGAGTCCCTACCTGTTAAAGGTTTACACCATTAGCAAGTTCAGGTTTTCTCTTCATTTGCTTGTTTTCATAGTGGTCACCAAAAACAAAAAGATATTTCATCTGAACTGCTTTGTTAAGAATATGGGTTTAAAAAGATATTTTTCTTGTCCTAGAAAAAATGAGAAAGCAATGATTTCTTTCCTTTGAGAATAACTCATGTTTTTGCCAGATACTGATAGTTTTTTTTTCCCTTTACCCTTGTAATTAAAATTATTTTTAGTGGGTGTCACTTAGAATCCAGGGAGCACTTTGTGTATCTTTAGATTTTTTTTTTGAAACTCAGACAAGTTTCCTTTGATGATGTATTTGAATAATATTATCTATGCATTGATTGTGTTGATGTCTTCTTTAACAGCCTCTATAAATTTCCTAGGTTGGTTCTCTATTCTCTGCCCTCCACACCTAAAGATATTCATTATTATGCATGATCATATGTAGATTAAAGAACAGAAAATTAATAAGCTTTATTATAAATACTTTAGTATCATTCATACTCACATGCTTTTCCTATGTTGTAAATTTACAGCAAAAATAAAGAAGGCCAAATTCATGCTTATCCTTTTAATTCAAGCATTTATCTTTAAAGGTAAAGAAGATACCACAAACATTTAATGAGCCCTTCCTATACTATGTGCTTATCACTTAACTATTCTAAATAATTTTGCAGTTAGGCTTGTAGCAAAGAAACTGATAATAATTTTAAATGATATTATGAGTATCACAATGGAGAAAAATAATCAGATAACTTATCTGACCATGGCTTAGGTTCTTCTCTTGGAAAAATATTTTTGGGTCAGACTGTGGTTGGTCCTTCTCTCTTTAATGCTCTTTCCCCTCTTTGGTCCTCAATTTAGAACTATTTATAGAAGCATCTATTATGATAGATTCTGTCTCTGCATAAGTGATTGTAATTAGCTATATCTCATGAAAGTTTCCTAGGATTGAATAAAATAGAGCCAGAGTTAGCAGCGGCTCAAGTCTGTAATCCCAGTACTTTGCGAGGCCCAGGCAAGAGGAGCATTTGAGGCCAGGAGTTCAAGAACGGCCTGGGCAACAAAGCCAGATCCCGTCTCTACAAAAAAATTAAAAAATTAGCCGGGTATGGTGATGTGCACCTGCAGTCCCAGCTACTTGGGAGACGAGGGCAGGAGGATTGCATGAGCCTGGGAGGTCAAGACTGCAGTGAGCCACAATCTCACCACTGCACTCCAGCCTGCGTGACAGAGTGAGATCCTGTCTCAAAAATAAATAAAAATAAAAATAATGTACTTTAAAAAAGAGAGGGAGCCAGCGCTCACTTTCTGATTTATCATCATGCCATTCATAAATCTCAGAAGCTACTGTTACAGTGAAGTATCTAATGATACTGATTCCTTCTGGTGAATTCTGTTCTGCTTTAATTATATTATATTACAATAAAGGGCATGTTTTTTCTTTTGGGATTTAAAAGAAAAATATTACCCCACTGACACAGATTGATCTATCTAAAATGAGTAGCACGTTCAAAAATTAGTTGTTTTTGTTTACAAAGATGGAATTGTCACCTTTATATGCCACAGCCTCAGTTTTGGAAGTATCTGGTTTTTTATATGGAGTTGAAATATAACCAAGGCAAGTTAGTGCTATGGTCTGAATGTCTGTGTCCCTCACCCCCACCCCCCGCACCATTCATATGTTAAAACATAATCCCCTGTGATAGGATTAAGAGGTGGAGCCTTTGGGAGGTGATTAGGTCACAGGGCCCCACCCTCCAGAATGGGATTAGTGCTCTTGCAAAGGGGGCCTGAGGAAGGTCACTAACCTCTTGTTTGCCCATTCCACCAAATGAGGCTACAAAGACAAGACATCCATTTAATGAAGGAAGTGGCCCTCACAAGATTCCAAACCTGCTGGCAACTTGATCTTGGACTTCCCAGCCTCCAGAACTGTGAGAAATAAGTTCCTATTGTTTATAAGCCACCCAGTCTAAGATATTTTGAGCATTTTGAATAGACTAACAGCTATTGTATTTAATGTAATCCTCCCTTTCCTTCTCAGAAATTCCTATATATTTCTTTTTCATCTGGTCCTTTCTTTCAGCAACTAGTTCCCTACATATAGTAGTTATCAAGCAACTGTTGCATGAATGAGGAACAGATATCTCAAATCTATTTATCTGCAACAGAGTCAACCAAGAAAAAAACAGAATTTGATGTCCAAAATTCAACCTTGTTCATTCTTTCCTCTGACCAGGGAGCCAAAGAAAGATGAAAATATTTTTAAAAAAATTTTTTTAATGCAACCATGAAATTAAAAATGCCAGGTTGGGGATTCTAAATGACAGCAAGTATTATGGGAAAGAAAGAAAGAAAAAGGAAGGAAGGTAGGTGAAAAGAAAGAAGGAAAAAGAAAAGAAAGAGAAGAAGGGAGAGAGAAAGAGAAGAAAAAAAGAGGAAAAGAAGGAAAGAAAGAGAGCAAGAAAGAAAGAAAAAAGAAAAAGAAAGAGAAAGAAAAGGAGGAGGAAAAAGAGGAAGGAAGGAAGAAAGGAAGGAAGGAAGGAACAGGTTGAACTTTTTTGTAAATTCCTGTAAGGGAAAATGTTTGATCCTTAGACCACTGTAAAAACAAGTAAGTGGTTCTGTGGTAATGATTTAGGAAGACACCAAAAGGAGAAAATGTTATTAATATAGGAATTATTATCAGTGAAGAAGTTCTGTTTAGACAGTTGGTAACTTCTGATGAGTCTTGAATCATACAGCCCACAGTTAGCAGACGATCCAAGCCTATCTGCTCATGCACTCCTCTATGCTAATCGCCCTGAAGTTCTGGGGTCCAGGGAATTAACTGTAGGAATTTATAGATTTTCTTGTAAATCTAAAAGCTGAATTTAGGGTCCTGTTGTAGCCTGGGTCATCTGAGAAGCAGCTGCCAAGATGGAATTAGATGTACAAGAGGGAGGATAGAGGCAAAAGGGAGCAAGAGCAGCAGAGTAACCCTAAAAAACTCCTAATAAAGTCTTGGTCAACGAGTAGACATGAGAGGAGTCTCATGTCCAGCAGGAATGGCCAGGGTCTAAGTCCCTTGCAGGGTTCAGTCCTTGGTTGGGAATGGCCTGCAGAGGGCATTGTCTCCAGTGAATGCTGCAGGGGGCAGAGGGTGGCCATCAGCCAACCCCAGGTCTCCTGCAGGCTCTGTTAGTGGAGCTGTGAGGAGCCACCTCCATGGTTCCAGATCCCCGAGCACCTGTAGATCTAATTTTATGTTGAGTTACCCGTAAAGGGCCCAAGACATCCTGGAAAGGTGATTCTACCTAGAAGAACACCTGTGTTCAGTCGCTCTATTAAAGAGAAGGTGAAAATGTTACTGGAAAAGGCGGTCTCCATCCAGACCCCCAGAGAGGGTTCTTGGATCTCTCACTGGAAGGGTGAGAAGGAGATATTTTATTGAAAGCTACTTCTTTACAGAGTAGGGCATCCTCAGGAAGCAAGCAGAGGAAGGCACTGTCTTTAAGTTTTTCATATACGGGGGTCTTGTCTATGTAAAGACTAAACTAAGCTGTGCCTATGTATGGCTGAGCAGACAGAATGAGAAAATTTATTATTCTGTTGACTTAAAGAAAACTATCCTTGACATTCTATTGTGTGAATACATCAAAGCATAACTGTAATATCGCCAATGTTGTAAAACCCCAACTCTACAAAAATTAGCCAGGCATGGTACTGCACACCTGTAATCCCAGCTTCTCCAGAGGCTGAGGTGGGAGTGAGGGGTGAAGCCAGCTGGACTTCCTGGGTCGGGTGGGGACTTGGAGAACTTTTCTGTCTAGCTAGAGGATTGTAAATGCACCAATCAGCAGTCTGTGTCTAGCTAAAGGTTTGTAATTGCACCAATCAGCACTCTGTAAAAATGCACCAATCAGCACTCTGTGTCTAGCTAAAGGTTTGTAAACGCACCAATCAGCCCTCTGTAAAATGGAGCAATTAGCACTCTGTAAAATGGACCAATCAGAGCTCTGTAAAATGGACCAATCAGCAGGATGTGGGCAGGGCCAAATAAGGGAATAAAGGGTGGCCACTTGAGCCAGCAGCGGCAGTGGCAACCCGCTTGGGTACCTTTCCATGCTGTGGAAGCTTTGTTCTTTTGCTCTTCACAACAAATCTTGCAGCTGCCCACTCTTTGGGTCTGCATCATCATTAAGAGCTATAACACTCTCCACGAAGGTCCGTGGCTTCACTCCTGAAGTCAGTGAGACCAAGAACCTGCTGGAAGGAAGAAACTCTGGATACATTTGAACATCTGGAGGAACAAACTCTGGACACAGCATTTTTTTTTTTTTTTTTTTTTTTTGAGATGGAGTCTTGCTCTGTCACCCAGACTGGAGTGTACTGGCATGATCTCGGCTCACTGCAAGCTCCGCCTCCCGGGTTCACGCCATTCTCCTGCCTCAGCCTCCCGAGTAGCTGGGACTACAGGAGCCCGCCAGCACACCTGGCTAATTTTTTGTATTTTTAGTAGAGACAGGGTTTCACCATGTTAGCCAGGATGGTCTCAATCTCCTGATCTCATGATCTGCCTGCCTTGGCCTCCCAAAGTGCTGGGATTACAAGCGTAAGCCACCGCGCCCAGCCAACACACCATCTTTAAGAGCTGTAACACTCACGGCAAGGGTCCGCAGCTTCATTCTTGAAATCAGCGAGACCAAGAACCCACTGGAAGGAATAAATTCAGGACACAGGAGGATCACTTGAGCTCATGAGGTCAGGGCTGCAGTAAGCCATGATGGCTCCACTGCACTCCGGTCTGGGTGACAGAGTAAGACCCTGTCTCAAAAAAAGAAAAAAGAAAAAAGTAACCACTTTCTTTGCTCATCTGTAGGAAGCAATTCCTTACCCATTCAAGTTTTATCTTGAGCCATGCTCTCACTGCAGCACTCCAGTCTGGGCAACACAGCAGGATCCTATCTCAAAAACAAAACTTGGGTCACTTTCCTGGTCATTCATGGACAAACATATGCTCAAGAGTGGCAAAAATTTGAGTTGCCCACCTGGCACATTCCCAGCTGAGTTGAAACAAGGTGACAACGCTGCCTTCTTGTTTCAACTCTCCCACTGCAAACAAATGTTCTTTACAAAATCTATTTAGTGCCACATTGTTCCTATTTTGTGCGTTTGGGTGGTGATTTTGCCTGTGAAATGGCCCCCAAGCATGGTGCTTGAAGGGCGATCTAGTGTTTCAAGTACAAGAAAGTTGCAATGTGCCTTACAGAGAAAATATGTGTGTGAGATAAGCTTCATTTGGGTGTGAGAGTGCTGTTGGCCAGGAGTTCATGAATGAACAACATATATTAACCAAGATGTCTTTAAACAGAACTACCTGTAAAACAAGAGTTAATGAATGAACAACATGTATTAAATAAGTGTCTTTAAACAGAACCACACATAAGACAAGGCTACGTATTGATCAGTTTACAAAAATATTGGGACAGAGGCTCTCAGGATTCTAACCCTGTATTTCTCCTGTGAGAAAATTCAGTGATCACAGTGACCTTATGAAACACGACTACTGGCCAGGTGCCATGACTCACACCTGTAATCCCAGCACTTTGGGAGGCCGAGATGGGCGGATCACCTGAGGTCAGGAGTTCGAGACCAGCCTGGCCAACATGGTGAAACCCCGTCTCAACTAAAAATACAAAAATTTGCCAGGCGTCGTGGTGGCACATGCCTGTAATCCCAGCTACTCAGGAGGCTGAGGCAGGAGAATTGCTTGAGCCCGGGAGGCGGGGGATGCACTGAGCCGAGATCATGCCACTGTACTCCAGCCTGGGTGACAGATTGAGACACTGTCTCAAAAAAAAAAAAAAAAAAAAGATAATGAGAAGAAAACTATGTTAAAAAGTCAGCATGAGGCTGGGCGTGGTGGCTCACACCTGTAATCCTAGCACATTAGGAGGCAGAGGCTGGAGGATCACTTGAGCCCAGGAGTTCAAGACCAGCCTGGGCAACATGACGAAACCCTGTCTCTACAAAATATACAAAAATTAGCTGGGTGTGGTGGCATGTGCCTGTATTCCCAGCTACTTGGGAGGCTGAGGCACAAGAATTGCTTGAACCCAGGAGGCGGAGGTTGTAGTGAGCCAAGATGGCACCATTGCACTCCAGCTTGGTCAACAGAGTGAGACTCCGTCTCAAAAAAAAAAGAAAAAAGTCAACGTTATATGCAGTGGCAAAATTCTAGAGTAGAGGCCATAAACTGATAGGCCTACTACTCTGTCCGGCCCAAACACTGTAACAAATCATTCCAATTTAGTTGCAAACACTGAAAATTGCAGTGCCCGGTAATGAAACTTCCACAAAGGGGTGATTCCAAAACACCTGACTGACAGTGCTAAATTACTGCTTGGCCCTGCAGGCATTTGAGTTTGTAACTTGCACTCCCGAGGCATTCTTTTTAGTTCAGAAATATTACAAAGAGGCCCCTTTTTTCCTATTATTTTGAAAGTATTGATAATATATTAAGGCATAATTAAAATCTTAGTAGCTAAATGTTCTCGCCACGAAAACCAAAACTCAGAATACCCATAACTAGTTGAAGTGATAGACATGTTAACTTACTTGATCATGGTCATCATTTCACAACATATTGTACACCTTAAACTGACACAACTTTATTTGTCAATTACAACTCAATAAAGCTGGAGAAAAATAAAAAGAAAACTAAGATTCATAAGATTATTGTGAATAAGATAAACATATAGCTCCTAATGATGCACTCAAGTATTTCAACACGGAAAACAGAAGATAATTTCCCCTTCATTTCATCTTTTAAAAAATGTACACTAAATACAGTCAATTCTCATTATGCATGGTAGTCATGTTTTGTTTTTTGTTTTGTTTTGTTTTTTTGAGACAGAGTCTCACTCTGTCATCCGGGCTGGAGTGCAGTGGTGTGATCTCGGTTCACTGCAACCGCCCCTCAGTTGAAACAATAGAAAAAGAGGGAATCCTCCCTAACACATTTTATGAGGCCAGCATCATCCTGATACCAAAACCTGGCAGACACAACAAAAAAAATTTCAGCCGGGTGCAGTGGCTCACGCCTGTAATCCCAGTACTCTGGGAGGCTGAGGCAGGTGGATCATGAGGTCAGGAAATCGAGACCATCCTGGCTAACATGGTGAAAACCTGTCTCTACTAAAAATACAAAAACAAAATTAGCCAGGCATGGTGGCGGGCGCCTGTAGTCCCAGCTACTCAGGAGGCCGAGGCAGGACAATGGGGTGAACCCAGGAGGCAGAGCTTGCAGTGAGCGGAGATGGTGCCACTGCACTCCAGCCTGGGCAACAGAGCAAGACTCCATCTCAAAAAAAAAAAAAAAAAAAAAAAAGAAAGAAAATTTCAGGCCAATATCCCTGATGAAAATTGATGCAAAAATCTTCAATAAAATACTGGCAAACTGAATCCAGCAGCATATCAAAAAGCTTATCCACCACGATCAAGTTGGCTTCATCCCTGGGATGCAAGGCTGGTTCAACATACACAAATCAATCAGCGTAATCCATTACATAAACAGAACCAACAACAAAAACCACGATTGTCTCAATAGATGAAGAAAAGGCCTTCAACAAAATTCAACAGCCCTCATGCTAAAAACTTTCAATATACTAGGTATTGATGGAACGTATCTCAAAATAGTAAGAGCTATTTATGACAAACCCACAGCCAATATCATACCGAATGGGCAAAAACTGGAAGCATTCCCTTTGAAAACCGGCTCAAGACAAGGATGCCCTCTCTCACCACTCCTATTCAACATAGAGTTGGAAGTTCTGGCCAGAGCAATCAGGCAAGAGAAAGAAATAAAGCGTATTCAATTAGGAAAAGAGGAAGTCAAATTGTCCCTGTTTGCAGATGACATGATTGTATATTTAGAAAACCCCATCATCTCAGGCCAAAATCTCCTTAAGCTGGCCGGGCACGGTGGCTTACGCCTGTAATCCCAGCACTTTGGAAGGCTGAGGTGGATCATGAGGTCAGGAGATCGAGACCATCCTAGCTAACATGGTGAAACACTGTCTCCACTAAAAGTACAAAAAACTAGCTGGGCATGGTGGCAGGCGCCTGTAGTCCCAGCTATTTGGGAGGCTGAGGCAGGAGAATGGCGTGAACCTGGGAGGCGGAGCTTGCAGTGAGCTGAGATTGCGCCACTGCACTCCAGCCTGGGCGACAGAGTGAGACTCTGTCTCAAAAAAAAAAAAAAAAAAAAAAAAAAAAAAAAATCTCCTTAAGCTGATAAGCAACTTCAGTCATTTCAGGATACAAAATCAATGTGGAAAATATCACAAGCATTCCTATACAGCAATAACAGACAAATAGAGAGCCAAATCATGAGTGAACTCCCATTCACAATTGCTACAAAGAGAAAAAAATACCTAGGAATCCAACTTACAAGGGATGTGAAGGACCTCTTCAAGGAGAACTACAAACCACTGCTCAACGAAATAAAAGAGGACATAAACAAATGGAAGAACATTCCATGCTGATGGATAGGAAGAATCAATATTGTGAAAATGGCCATACTGCCCAAGGTAATTTATAGATTCAATGCCATCCCCATCAAGCTACCAATGACTTTCTTCACAGAATTGGAAAAAACTACTTTAAAGTTCCTATGGAACCAAAAAAGAGCCCACATTGCCAAGACAATCCTAAGCAAAAAGAACAAAGCTGGAGGCATAATGCTACCTGCCTTCAAACTATACTACAGAGTTATAGTAACCAAAACAGCATGGTACTGGTACCAAAACAGATATATAGACCAATGGAACAGAACAGAGGTCTCAGAAATAACACCACACATATGCAACCATCTGATCTTTGACAAACCTGACAAAAACAAGAAATGGGGAAAGGATTCCCTATTTAATAAATGGTGCTGGGAAAACTGGCTAGCCATATGTAGAAAGCTGAAACTGGATCCCTTTCTTACACCTTATACAAAAATTAATTCAAGATGGATTAAAGACTTAAATGTTAGACCTAAAACCATAAAAACTGTAGAAGAAAACCTAGGCAATACCATTCAGGACACAGACATGGGCAAGGACTTCATGACTAAAACACCAAAAGCAATGGCAACATTGTTCAGCTCCCACTTATAAGGGAGAACATGTGGTGTTTGGTTTTCTGTTCCTGCATTAGTTTGCTGAGGATAATGGCTTCCAGCTCCATCCGTGTCCCTGCGAAGGATGTGATCACATCTCGTTCCTTTTTATGGCTGTGTAGTATTTCATGGTGTATATGTACCACATTTTCTTTATCCAGTCTATCACTGATGGGCATTTAGGTTGATTCCGTGTCTTTGCTATTGTGAATAGTGCTGCAATAAACATATGTGTATATGTATCTTTATAATAGAATAATTTATATTCCTTTGGGTACATACCCAGTAATGGGATTGCTAGGTCAACTGGTATTTCTGGTTCTAGATCTTTGAGGAATCACCACACTGTCTTCCACAATGGTTGAACTAACTTACATTCCCACCAGCAGTGTAAAAGCATTCCTATTTCTCCACAGTCTCACCAGCATCTGTTGTTTCTTGACTTTTTAATAATCGCCATTCTGACTGGCATGAGATGATATTCATTGTAGTTTTGATTTGCATTTCTCTAATGATCAGTGATGTTGAGCTTTTTTCATGTTTGTTGGCCACGTGAATGTCTTCTTTTGAAAAGTGTCTGTTCGTATCCTTTGCCCACTTTTTAATAGGGTTGTTTGTTCTGGTTCTTGTATATTTGTTTAAGTTCCTTGTAGATTCTGGATATTAGACTTTCGTCAGATGGATAGATTGCAAAAACTTTCTCCCATTCTGTGGGCTGTCTGTTCACTCTGATGATAGTTTCTTTTGCTGTGCAGAAGCTCTTTAGTTTAATTACATCCTATTTGTCAATTTCTGCTTTTGTTGCAATTGCTTTTGACATTTTCATCATGAAATCTTTGACCAGTCCTATGTCCTGAATGGTATTGTCAAGATTTTCTTCTAGGGTTTTTACAGTTTTGGGCTTTACATTTAAGTCTTCAATCCGTCTTGAGTTAATTTTTGTATAAGGTGTAAGGAAGGGGTCCGATTTCAATTTTCTGCATATGGCTAGCCAGTTCTCCCAGCACCATTTATTAAATAGAGAATCCTTTTCCCATTGCTTTTTTTGGTCAGGTTTGTCAATGATCAGATGGTTGCAGATGTGCAGTCTTATTTCTGAGTTCTCTATTCTGTTCCATTGGTCTATGTGTCTGTTTTTGTACCAGCACCTTGCTGTTTTGGTTACTGTAGCCTTGTAGTGTGGTTAGATGTCTGTTAGTGTGATGCTTCCAGCTTTGCTCTTTTTGCTTAGGATTGTCTTAGCTATACGGGCTCTTATTTGGCTCCATATGAATTTTAAAGTAGTTTTTTCTAATTCTGTGAAGAATGTCAATGGTAGCTTAATGGGACTAGCATTGAATCTATAAATTACTTTGGACAGTAAGGCCATTTTCATGATATTGATTCTTCCTATCCTTGAACATGGAATGTTTTTCCATTTGTTTGTGTCCTCTCTGATTTCCTTGAGCAGTGTTTTGTAACTCTCCTTGAAGAGGTCCTTCACTTCTCTTGTTAGCTGTATTCCTAGGTATTTTATTCTCTTTGTACCAGTTGTAAATGGGAGTTCATTCATGATTTGGCTCTCTGCTTATCTGTTGTTGGTGTATAGGAATGCTTGTGAATTTTGCACATTGATTTTCTATTCTGAGACTTTGCTGAAGTTGCTTAAGAAGCTTGTGGCCAGGTGTAGTGGCCCATGCCAGTAATCCCAGCATTTGGGGAGGCTGAGGCAGGTGGATCACCTGAGGTTAGGGGTTCAAGACCAGCCTGGCCAACATGGCAAAACCCTGTCTCTACTAAAAATACAAAAATTAGCTGGGTGTGGTGGCACACACCTGTAGTCCCAGCTACTTGGGAGGCTGAGGAACAAGAATCGCTTGAACCCAGGAGGCAGAGGTTGCAGTGAGCCAAGATCATGCCATTGTACTCCAGCCTGGGTGACAGGGCAAGACTCTGTCTCCAAAAAAAAAAAAAAAAAGCTTTTGGGCTGAGACAATGGGGTTTTCTAGATATAAAATCTGCAAACAGAGACAGTTTGACTTCCTTTCTTCCTATTCTAATATCCTTTATTTCTTTCTCTTGCCTGATTGCCCTGGCCAGAGCTTCCAATACTATCTTGAATAGGAGTGGTAAGATGGGGCATCCTTGTCTTGTGCCAGTTTTCAAGGGGAATACTACCAGCTTTTGCCCATTCAGTATGATATTGGCAATGGGTTTTCATAAATGGCTCTCATTATTTTTATGTGTGTTCCATCACTACCTAGTTTATTGAGACTTTTTAATATGAAGGGATGTTGAATTTTATCAAAGGCCTTTTTTCATCTAATGAGATGGTCATGTGGTTTTTGTCTTTAGTTCTATTTATGTGATGAATTATGTTTATTGATTTGCATATGTTGAACCAGCCTTGCATCCCAAGGATGAAGCCAACTTGATCGTGGTGGATAAGCTTTTTGATGTGCTGCTGGATTCTGTTTGCCAGTATTTTATTGAGAGTTTTTGCATTGATGTTCATCATGGATATTGGCCTGAAGTTTTCTTTTTTTTATTGTATCTCTGCCAGGTTTTGGTATCAGGATGATGCTGGCCTAATAAAATGAATTAGGGAGGAGTTCCTTCTTTTCAATTGTTTGAAATATTTTCAGAAGGGTCCCAGCTCCTCTCTATGTCTCTGGTAGAATTCAGCTATAAATCTGTCTGATCCTGGGCTTTTTTTGGTCTGTAGGCTATTTATTACTGCCTCAATTTCAGAACTTGTTATTGGTCTATTCAGGGATTCAACTTCTTCCTGGCTTAGTCTTGGGAGGGTGTATGTGTTCAGGAATCTATCCTTTTCTTCTAGATTTTCTAGTTTATTTGCATAGAGGTGTTTATAGTATTTTTGTATTCGTATAGTATTGTTTGTATTTCTGTGGGGTCAGTGGTGATATCCCCTTTGTCATTTTTTATTGTGTCTATTTGATTCTTCTCTCTTTTATTCTTTATAAGTCTAGCTAGCAGTCTATTTTATTAATTTTTTCAAAAAACCAGCTCCTGGAGTTGTTGATTTTTTTGAAGGGTTCTTTCTGTCTCTATCTCCTTCAGTTCTGCTCTGATCTTGGTTATTGCTTGTCTTCTGCTAGATTTGGGGTTTGTTTGATCTTGGTTCTCTAGCTCTTTTAGTTGTGACATTAAGATGTTGATTTCAGATCTTCCCAGCTTTTTTATGTGGGCCTTTAGTGCTATAAATTTCCCTCCTAACACTGCTTTAGCTACATCTCAGAAATTTTGGTACATTGTCTCTTCATTCTCATTGGTTTCAAATAACTTCTTGATTTCTGCTTTAATTTCATAATTTAGCTGGGAGTCGTTCAGGAGCAGGTTGTTCAATTTCCGTGTATTTGTGTGGTTCTGAGTGAGTTTCTTAGTCTTGAGTTCTAATTTGATGGCACTGCGGTCTAAGAGACTTTTTGTTATGATTTCAGTTCTTTTGCATTTGCTGAGGAGTGTTTTACTTCCAATTATGTGATTGATTTTAGAGTAAGTTGCCATGTGACATCAAGAAGAATTTATATTCGATTGTTTGGGGGTGGAGAGTTTTGTAGATATCTATCAGGTCCACTTAAGCCAGAGCTGAGTTCAAGTCCTGAATATCCTTGTTAATTTTCTGTCTTGATGATCTGTCTAATATTGACAGTTGGGTGTTAAAGCCTCCCACTATTATTGTTTGGGAGTCTAAGTCTCTTTGTAGGTCTCTAAGAACTTGTTTTATGAATCTGGGTGCTCTTGTACTGGGTGCATATATATTTAGAATAGTTAGGTCTTCTTGTTGAATTGAACCCTTTACCATTATGTAATGCCCTTCTTTGTCTTTTTCGATCTGTGTTGGTTTAAAGTTGGTTTTGTCAGAAACTAGGATTGTAACCCCTGCTTTTTTCTGCTGTCCATTTGCTTGGTAGATTTTCCGCCATCACTTTATTTTGAACCTATGTGTGTCTTTGCACATAAGATGGGTCTCTTGAATATAGCACACTGATGTGGCTTGACTCTTTATCCAGCTTGCCATTCTGTGTCTTTTAATTGGGGCATTTAGCCAATTTCCACTTAAGGTTAACATTGTTATGTGTGAATTTGATCCTGTCATCATGATGCTAGCTGATTATGTTCCAGACTTGTTGAGGTAGTTGCTTCATAGTGTCACTGGTCTGTGTACTTCAGTGTGTTTTTGTAGTGGCTGGTAACATTTTTTCCCTTTCCATATTTAGTGCTTCCTTCAGGAGCTCTTGCAAGGCAGTCTTGGCAGTGACAAATTTCCTCAGCATTTGCTTGTCTGAAAAGGATTTTATTTCTCCTTCACTAATGAAGTTTAGTTTCGCCAGATATGAGATTCTGGATTGGAAATTTTTTTATTTAAGAGTCTCCCTCTCCCTCTCCCTCTCCCTCTCCCTCTCCCCACGGTCCCCCTCTCCCCACAGTCCCCCTCTCCCCACGGTCTCCCTCTCCCTCTCTTTCCACCGTCTCCCTCTGATGCCGAGCCGAAGCTGGACTGTACTGCTGCCATCGCGGCTCACTGCAACCTCCCTGCCTGATTCTCCTGCCTCAGCCTGCCGAGTGCCTGCGATTACAGGCGCGCGCCGCCACGCCTGACTGGTTTTCGTACTTTTTTGGTGGAGACGGGGTTTCGCTGTGTTGGCCGGGCTGGTCTCCAGCTCCTAACAGTGAGTGATCCGCCAGCCTTGGCCTCCCGAGGTGCCGGGTTTGCAGACGGAGTCTGGTTCACTCAGTGCTCAATGGTGCCCAGGCTGGAGTGCAGTGGCGTGATCGTGGCTCGCTACAACCTCCACCTCCCAGCCACCTGCCTTGGCCTCCCAAAGTGCCGAGATTGCAGCCTCTGCCCGGCCGCCACCCCGTCTGGGAAGTGAGGAGCGTCTCTGCCTGGCCGCCCATCGTCTGGGACGTGAGGAGCCCCTCTGCCTGGCTGCCCAGTCTGGAAAGTGAGGAGCGTCTCTGCCCAGCCGCCATCCCATCTAGGAAGTGAGGAGCGCCTCTTCCCGGCCGCCATCCCATCTAGGAAGTGACGAGCGTCTCTGCCCGGCCGTGACCCCGTCTGGGAGGTAAGGAGTGTCTCTGCCCGGCCGCCCCATCTGAGAAGTGAGGAGACCCTCCGCCTGGCAACCGCCCCGTCTGAGAAGTGAGGAGCCCCTCCGCCTGGCAGCCACCCCGTCTGGGAAGTGAGGAGCGTCTCCGCCCGGCAGCCACCCCATCCGGGAGGGAGGTGGGGGTCAGCCCCCGCCAGGCCAGCCGCCCCGTCCGGGAGGGAGGTGGGGGGGTCAGCCCCCCGCCCGGCCAGCCGCCCCGTCCGGGAGGGAGGTGGGGGGGTAGCCCCCCACCCGGCCAGCCGCCCCGTCCGGGAGGTGAGGGGTGCCTCTGCCCAGCCGCCCCTACTGGGAAGTGAGGAGCCCCTCTGCCCGGCCAGTCGCCCCGTCCGGGAGGGAGGTGGGGGGCTCAGCCCCCCCGCCCGGCCAGCCGCCCCGTCCGGGAGGGAGGTGGGGGGGTCAGCCCCCCACCCGGCCAGCCGCCCCGTCCGGGAGGTGAGGGGTGCCTCTGCCCAGCCGCCCCTACTGGGAAGTGAGGAGCCCCTCTTCCTGGCCAGCTGCCCCGTCCTGGAGGGAGGTGGGGGGGTCAGCCCCCCGCCCGGCCAGCTGCCCTGTCCGGGAGGTGAGGGGCGCCTCTGCCCGGCCGCCCCTACTGGGATGTGAGGAGCCCCTCTGCCCGGCCACCACCCTGTCTGGGAGGTGTACCCAACAGCTCATTGAGAAAGGGCCGGGATGACAATGGCGGTTTTGTGGAATAGAAAGGCGGGAAAGGTGGGGAAAAGATTGAGAAATCGGATGGTTGCCGTGTCTGTGTAGAAAGAAGTAGACATGGGAGACTTTTCATTTTGTTCTGTACTAAGAAAAATCCTTCTGCCTTGGGATCCTGCTAATTGGTGACCTTACCCCCAACCCTGTGCTCTCTAAAACATGTGCTGTGTCCACTCAGAGTTGAATGGATTAAGGGCGGTGCAAGATGTGCTTTGTTAAACAGATGCTTGAAGGCAGCATGCTTGTTAAGAGTCATCACCACTCCCTAATCTCAAGTACCCAGGGACACAAACGCTGTGGAAGGCCGCAGGGTCCTCTGCCTAGGAAAACCAGAGACCTTTGTTCACTTGTTTATCTGCTGACCTTCCCTCCACTATTGTCCTATGACCCTGCCAAATCCCCCTCTGCGAGAAACACCCAAGAATGATCAAAAAAAAAAAAAAAATTTAAAAAATCAAAAAAATAAAAATAAATAAAATGTTGAAAAAAAAAAAAAAGAGTGTTGAATATTGGCCCCCAATTTCTTCTGGCTTATAGGGTTTCTGCTGAGAAGTCCACTGTTATTCTCATGGGGTTCCCTTTGTAGGAGACCTGACCTTTCTTCTTTCATTTTGACCTTGGAGAATCTGATAATTATGTGTCTTGGGTTGATCTTCTCATGGAGTATCTTACTGGGGTTCTCTGGATTTCCTGAATTTCAATGTTGGCCTGCCTTGTTAGGTTGGGGAAGTGCTCCTGGATAATATCCTGAAGTATGTTTTCCAACTTGGTTCTGTTCTCCCCATCTCTTTCAGGTGCCCCAATCAGTCGTAGGTTCAGTCTTTCTACATAATCTCATAGTTCTCAGAGGTTTTGGTCATTCCTTTTCATTTTTTTCCCCCTCTAATCTTGTCTGCTTGTCTTATTTCAGCAAGACAGTCTTCAAGCTCTGAAATTCTTTCTTCTGCTTGGTCTGTTTGGCTATTGATACTTGCGGTTGCATTGTGAAGTTCTTGTATTGTGTTTTTCAGCTCCATCTGGTCATTTATGTTCCTCTCTAAACTGGTTCTTCTGGTTAACAGCTACTGTAATGTTTTCTCATAGTTCTTAGCTTCTTTGCATTGGGTTAGAACATGCTTCTTTAGCTCAGCAAAGTTTGTTATTACCTACCTTCTGAAGGCTACTTCTGTCAGTTCATCCATCTCAGCCTCAGGCCAGTTCTGTGCCATTGCTGGAGAGGTGTTGCAATCATTTGGAGGAGAAGAGGCTTTCTGGCTTTTTGAGTTTTCAGCATTTTTGTATTGATTCTTTCTCATCTTCCTGATTTTATCTGGCTTTGGTCTTTGACGCTGCTGACCTTTGGATGGAGTTTTTGTGGGGACATTTTTGTTGATGCTGTTGTTGTTGTTGCTTTGTTCGTTTTTCTTTTAACAGTCAGGTCCCTCTTCCACAGGGCTGCTGCAGTTTGCTGGGGGTCCACTCTAGACCTTATTCCTCTGGGTTCTTCCCACCCCTGGATGTGTCACCAGTGGAGGCTGCAGAACAGCAAAGATGGATGCCTGTTCCTTCCTCTGGGATCTCTGTCCCAGAGGGGCACTCACCTGATGCTAGCAGAAACGCTCCTGTATAATGTCTGATGACCCCTGCTGGGATGGGGGGCAGGTCTCACCCAGTCAGAAAGCAAGAGATCAGGGACTTGCTTAACCAAGCACTCTAGCTGCCACTTAGCAGAGAGGGTGCACAGTGCTGGGGGTTATCCCACTCCCAGACTGCCCAGATTCCACAGAGCCAGCAGGGGGAAAGACTAAGTCTGCTGATCTGCAGAGACTGTGGCTGCCCCTCCCCCCAGGGGTTCCATCCCAGGGAGATCAAAGTTCTGTCCATAAAACCCTGGCTGGAATTGCTGAAGCTCCCACAGGGAGGCCCTGCCCAGTGAGAAGATATGGGTCCAGGTCTGGCCTAAAGAGGCAGTCTGGCCACGATCTTCCACAGCCACTGTGCTGCGCTGTGGGGAATTGCCCCTGGGTCCAAACCGCCCAGTCTCCCCAGCACCAGCAGGGGAAAACAGCAGACTGGAGCTGCAGTAATGCCAGCTGCCCCTTCCCCTGGGAACTTGGTAATCTTAGCGGCTGACAAGAACCTACGCAGCTCTGTACTTGCAACCCAAGGCTCTGGTGGTGTGGGCTCACAAGGGGATCTCCTGATCTGTGGGTTGCACAGATCTGTGGGAAAAGCATGGTTTCCCAGGCAAGGTAGCACAATCACTCACCACCTCCCCTGGCTGGGGGTGGGAGCTGCTCTTGCTCCATGTGGCTCCCGGGTGGGCTGTCACTCAACCCTACCTTTCCTCGCTTTCTGTGGATCATGCCAACCACCTAGTCATTCCCAATGAGAGATTCTGGATACCTTAGTTGCCAGTGTAGGATTCATTCACCGTTTTCGTTCATCTCAGTGGGAGCCTCGAACCGCAGCTGCTTCGAGTCAGCCATCTTGGTCCTTGGCTGGGTATTTGGCTACTGTCTCATGTCTCTTCACATTGCAGGGCTCTTTCTCTTGCTACAGACAGGTGATCAGGTCTGGCTTGGAGATAGTGACACCATTTCTTGGCTTCAGGGGTGCCCTGGAGTCTTAGCTATGAATCTTCCAAAACCAGCAGTTCGCAGAGCGGTGGAGGCTGAGGCTGTGGCAGAATCACCTAGACCTCCTGGAGTAGAGGACACAGGGCAGTGAAGACCTAACCCTGAGCTCTGGATGGAGTGAGAGACAAAAGCAGGTATGCATTTTGACTAACTGCCCACTTAAAAAATTGGGAGGATAGGCAGAGATATTTCCATTGAGCTGGCAATCTATAATACAGAAGGGTCCTCAATGTATTCTGAATGGTTTGCCCAATTCTCTCTACAGAAATTGTTGCAGACATTTCAGAGATAACATGCCCAATTTTCATGCAGTCTTACTTATTTTTATGTGGGAGACATAGTGCACATGTAATCTCTCTTTGTTTGGTAATTGGATGTGACCGAAGGATATATATGACAAGATTTAAGAAAGAGACTGAGAAAGAAGATGGAGAAATTTTGAAAGGGATGAAGAATAACTTGGACACTTGACAATTTGGCCTGCAACAGCACTGGCCATGCCATGTAGATTGTTAGCTTGTGAGTCTTTTGTTGTTGTTGTTGTTGTTTGTTTTTTTTGAGACGGAGTCTGGCTCTGTCGCCCAGGCTGGAGTGCAGTGGCACGATCTGGGCTCACTGCAAGCTCCGCCTCCCGGGTTCACTCCATTCTCCTGCCTCAGCCTCCCGAGTAGCTGGGGCAACAGGCGCACGCCACCACGCCTGGCTATTTTTTTTGTATTTTTAGTAAAGATGGGGTTTCACCGTGTTAGCCAGGATGGTCTCGATCTCCTGACCTCATGATCTGCCCGCCTCAGCCTCCCAAAGTGCTGGGATTACAGACGTGAGCCACCGCACCTGGCTTGTGAGTCTTTTAAGCATGTATTCCATTAGTTGTCAATCTCTGTTATAAAGACAGAAGATAAAGTAAAGGCTACCCAAGTACTATTCCATGCTTGGAGTCCTGTAAGTTTATTTTCAATTACATATTGTATATCCTGGGATATTTCTGAAGTTTCTAACTTATCTAGTACAAGTAGAATCCCAATGTCAAACATTTGGTCGATGGTAAAATTGTCATATTGTATCTAAAATTTGCTTAAAAATGTATATCTGTTGCTAAACTGCATGTGGATGATACAAAAGTGTTTTTTTAAACTTTTAAAATAAAGATTTGACATCTGCTCTATTAATTTACCATATTAACAATCAGTAACAAAGTATGGCTTTTAAAAACTTAACAAAATATATTTAACCCTCCTAAAGGTATTATAATATGTATATACTATAATGTACTCTTAATGAAATGGCTTCTTTTAAAGTATTGTCTTGGTCATTTGAAGAGGAAAAGCTGTAAACCTTGTCGAAGAGGCAGCTTAGTGTGGTAGAAAGGACATTGAACTAGGGGCCCAGAGCCCCACTTTTAAGCTTCATCTTTTTTCTTGCCAGCTATGAGAACCATAAGCAAGCCCTAAGCCTCTCTGAACTTCATTTTCCTCATCAGTAAAGTTAGAGGCTTGGGTTTCATGACTTCTGGGGTTTGCTTCCACTCTAACCATCTATGATTGTGTTTATTTTTATTCTTAGAGTGCTTCCTACATATTGTTAGACTCAATGATAAAAATTGTAGTATAAGAAAATAACAATCATTTTTTAACTGGAGACCTACAGGATGTGAAATTATTCTTGTTGGTATAAAAATGAAAATATGTTTTATTATGGAAAACCCTTTAAACACAGACTAACCTATGAGCCATCATATCCACAGATAAATTGAAATATGATAATCTTATAAAGAATCCCATATACTGTATATGTGAATTAAACTCCTTTTTAGAAGTTGCAACATTTCCATAGAGTCTCTCTGGGGAGTTGTTTGTTTTTTGTTCTTTGTTTTTCTTTTTTCTTTTCCTTAAGTAAAATATTCTCAAGTTAACAGTTAAATCTTCAGTTAAATATGAAAAATTTCACACATATTGGTCTCCTTGGGCTGCCATAACTAAATACCATACACTGGGTAGCTTAAACAATCAACATTTATTGCTAACAGTTCTGGAGGCAGGGAAGTCCAAATCAAGATGCCAGCTGATTTGGTTTCTGGTGAGTTCTCTCTTCCTGGCTTGCAGATGGCAGCCTTCCTGCTGTGTCACATATTGAAACAGTTACTGAATATAAATTCTTATCATTCATAGACAGGCTACTAAAAGGATGACAACTTTTTAAAAATTTTTTTGTAGAGACAAAGTCTCCCTATGTTGCCCAGGCTGGTCTTGAACTCTTGAGCTCAAGAGATCCTCCTGCTGTGGCCTCCCAAAGTGCTGAGATTACAGGGGTGAGCCACTGTGCCTGGACAGGATGACAACGGAAAATACTTGTTCACTGTACGTTTATTGAGTTTCTCATTTAAATCAATCAATGGATCAATATCAACATGTCATTTAGCAGTCTAAATTTTATGGCAATATTATGTAAGCATTAATCCATTGATTGATTTAAATGAGAAACTCAATAAACATACAGTGAACAAGTGTTTTGATTATATTAAACCCATTAGAATCTTGGTGCACCCCCGCTATCCCTACAACTTAAGTTAATAGAACATCTGGGAATGAAATGCAAGGTTTTAATTTTACTACAACTGCTTTTCATGTTTAAAACAATTGTTGATACAAAGCATTCAGGTGATGACATCCATGTAACCAAGGTGAGTGAAGCTGAACCCTACTAGGAAGAAATAAGATTCAAGTAAATAATGTGTATTAGTTATGTAGGCTGGGTGTGATGGCTCATGCCTGTAATCACACTTTGGGAGGCTGAGGCAAGATGATCTGTTGAGGACAAAAGTTCAAGACCAGCCTGGGCAACATAGTGAGACCCCATCTCTACATAAAATATTTTTAAATATTAGCCAGGCATGATGACACACACCTGCCGTCCTAGCTACCCAGGAGACTAAGGCAGGAGAATTGCCTGAGCCCAGAAATTCAAGACTGCGATGAGCTATGATTGAGCCACTGCACTCCAGCCTAAGCAACAGAGTGAGACCTTGTCTCTAAACAAACAAAAAAAAAAGAAAGAAAGAAAAGAAAAAGAAGAAAACCTAAGAAATATAAATAAAAAGTGAAATAGTGAAGCTAAAGAAAAACAAATATATTGAATTCTATGTCAATTAAAAAAATGTCTATTAAGAATGAGAGAAAAATGGAAATATTTTTAGACAAATAAAAGCTAAGAGAGTTTGCCAGGATCAAAATCCACTATAGGAAATTATAAAAGAAGCATTTCTGGCAAAAGGAAAATGATCCCATATGAAGGGTCCGAGTTGGGAGAAAAAAAATAAAGGTAAAATAGGTAACAATAAGTGGGTAACTCCAAATGTATTAAACAAGAAAAAGAATGTCCTGTAGAGTTCTAAGTAGATATACAGTACTAAGCAAATATTAGCAATAGGATAGTTGGTTTGACCATAATGATATCAGATCAAATTGACTTTAGGGCAAAAACCAATACCAGAGATAATGATAGTCACTTTATAATAATAAAAGGTCAATTAACCAGGAAGATACAACCATTTAAAATTTGTACTGTAGGCCGGGCACAGTGGCTCACACTTGCAATCCCAGCACTTTTGGAGACCAAGGTAGGAGGGTCCCTTGAGCCCAGGAGTTCAAGACCAGCCTGGGCAACATAGAGAGACCTCGACTCTATACAAATAATTAATTAATTAATTAAATTTGTACTGTAGTCCCAGCTACCTGGAAGGCTGAGAAAGGAGGATCGCTTGAGCCCAGGAGTTCAAAATCAGCCTGGGCAACATAGCAAGACCCTGCCTCTAATGTTTAAAAAATAAATGCACCCAGGCACGGTGGCGCATGCCTGTAATCTCAGCACTTTGGGAGGCCGAGGTAGGTGGATCACTTGAGGTCGGGAGTTCCAGACCAGCCTGGACAACATGGTGAAGCCCCATCTCTACTAAAAACACAAGTTAGCTGGGCGTGGTGGCGCATGCCTGTAATCCCAGCTACTCAGGAGGCTGAGGCACGAGAATCACTTAAACTCAGGAGGTGGAGGTTGCAGTGAGCTGAGATTATGGCACTGCCCTCCAGCCTGGGCAACACAGCAAGACCCTGTCTCAAAAAATAAATAAAAATATATACGTGTGTGTGTGTGTATATATATATATATAATCAGTTTTGAGACATACTTTGTCAGAGATATCTGCTATTGCCTGCATATTATCTTCTGGATTATAACCTGGCACTTTTATCATAATTATGAAGGTGGCTAGGTTTCCAGTAAATATCAGCATTTTATATGGACAAAAGCAGTTAATAAAAATCAGTTCATTTACTATAAGCCAAATGTGCTTGTTCTTAATCTCACCCTTTCCCAAAGTTTTTGAAGCTTTGATGTGTTGGTTTTTGGTCTGTCCTTAATATAAAATGTACTTACAGACACTTCTGCAGTTAACCCTGAAATTACAAATTGATGACACTTCAAGGCAAAGCAGGAGCATTATCTGTTCCTTCAGTGTCCCCTCACTGAATTCTGACTTCTGCTGCTCCATCATACCATCTGGCTGAACGCTGACATTTCATAGTTTACCACTGTAAAGACACCGACCTATGTGAGTTTAAAAGTGATCTGCACAATCTGTGAAATTTTATATACAACAAATTGGTTTTTAAAAATACAAAAATAACATCGGTCTTTTTTTTTTTTTTTTTTTTGAGATGGAGTCTTGCTCTGTTGCCCAGGCTGGAGTACAGTGGCACGATCTCAGCTCACTGTAACCTCCGCCTCTTGGGTTCAAGCGATTCTGCTGCCTCAGCATCCCAAGTAACCGGGATTACAGGCTTGCACTACCATGACTGGCTAATTTTTGTATTTTTAGCGAAACGGGGTTTCGCCATGTTGACAGGCTGGTCTTGATCTCCTGACCTCAAGTGATCCACCCACCTCGGCCTCCCAAAGTGCTGGGATTACAGGCGTGAGCCACCGGCACCCGGCCACATCAGTCACTTTTGTCATGCTGACAATTTGACATATAGACACATGCAGGAGAAAAGTTCCAATTTAGTCATCTGAACAACTGTAGCTTCTATATTTTTAATATGACAAACACTGCCACTGAGTTTTCACTCTGACAACTCCTTAAAAATTGACCATATACTGCCTGTGAAGTAGTCTCAGCAAATTTCAAAGGATGGTAATGATTTAGATTTGTTCCCTCACCGCACTGCAGTTAAACTAGAAATCAATAACCAAACAACAACATAAAAGCTACTCCCTACGTGTGGGAGTCAAAAATGAAATCATAGTGATCTTATAGAACATTGTTAACAGAATGATAAGGAAAATACTTCATATCAAACCTGGTTGGGGATGTAACTGAAGCAGTTTTAGAGGAAAACGTTTCATCTTCAAAGTGTATAGAACGGGCCAGGCACGGTGGCTCACGCCTGTAATCCCAGCACTTTGGGAGGCCAAGGCGGGCGGATCACAAGGTCAGGAGATCGAGACCATCCTGGCTGACACGGTGAAACCCCGTCTCTACTAAAAATACAAAAAATTAGCCGGGGACTATGGCATGTGCCTGTAGTCCCAGTTACTCGGGAGGCTGAGGCAGGAGAATGGCATGAACCCAGGAGGCGGAGCTTGCAGTAAGCTGAGATCACACCACTGCACTCCAGCCTGGGTGGCAGAGCGAGACTCCATCTCAAAAACAAACAAAAAAAAGAGTGTATAGAACAGAGGTTCTTTTTTTTTTTTTTTTTTTGAGATAGTGGTAAGACTATAAACAAAAGCAAGAAAGTTATTGCCGTGAAAATTCAGAAAAGGGCCAGGCACAGCGGTTCATGCCTATAATCCCAGCACTTTGGGAGTCTGAGGCAGGTGGATTGCTGGAGTCCAGGGGTTCCAGACCAGCCTGGGTAACAGGGTGAGACCGCATCTCTAAAAAACAATAAAATTAGCCAGGCGTGTGGTGCATGCCTGTAGTCCCAGCTACTCAGGAGGCTGAGGTGGGAGGATTGCTTGAGCCCAGAATGTTGAGGCTGCAGTAAGCCATAATCGCCACTGCACCACTGGGCTCCAGCCTGGGTGACAGAGTAAAACCCTGTTTCAAACAAACAAACAAAAAAAGTCAACATAGTGGTTACATTTAGGGGAAGTAATTTTGAATAGGAAGAGACATGTAGCAGCTTCTGAAGTGCTGGCCAAGTTTTTTTGTTTTTTGTTTTTCTGAAGTGCTGGCCAAGTTTTGTTTTGTTTTTGTTTTTGAGGCAGGGTCTTGCTTTGTCACCCAAGCTGGGGTGCAGTGGTGTGATCATAGCTCACTGCAGCCTTGACTTCCTGGGCTCAAGCTGTCCTCCCACCTCAGCCTCCTGAGAAGCTGGGACCACAGGCATAAACCTAGCCTAGCTATTATTTTATTTTATTTTATTTTTATTTTACTTTATTCATCTATTTTACTTTATTTTGTTTTACGTTTATTTTATTTTATGTAGAGACAGGGTCTTACTCTGTTGCCCAAGCTGGTCTCAAACTCCCAGGCTTAAGCAATTCTCCTGCCTCAGCCTCCCAAAGTGCTGGGATTACAGGAATGAGCCACCACGACCAGCCCTGGGCAAGTTCTTTTTTCTTAATTGGCAGGTGTTTACACGGTTGTTTGCTTTATAATATTTTCATTAAAATTGTTTTGTTTATTCATTTATTTTTCTAGAGATGGGGTCTTGCTACATTGCCCAGGCTGGTCTCGAACTCCTGGCTTCAACTGATCCTCCCACAGACATGAGCCACCACACCTGGCCCAAATTTTATTTTGAGATAATTATAGATGTACATGCAGTTGTAAGAAATAATATAAAGAGATCCCATGTACTTTTTACCCAGTTTCCTCCAAGGAAGGAACATTATATTACAATTTTATAATATAATACAATATAATATAATGACACAATATAATACTGTATTATATCATAATACAGTATTATATTGTAAAACTATATATAGTTCTATATCACAGTCAGGATATTGACACTGATACAGTCAAGATACAGAGCATTTCCACTACCCTCCTCTTGCTGCTTTATGGCCATACCCACTTCCCTGCCACTCCATAACTCTCACCTCCTTAACCTCTGGTAACCAGTAATCTGTTCTCCATTTCTATAATTTTTTTTTTTTGAGAGAGGGTCTTTATCATCCAGGCCGGACTGCAGTGGCGCAATCTCGGCTCACTGCAGCCTTGACCTCTCAGGCTCACGCCATCCTCCCACCTCAGCCCCCCAAGTAACTAGGACTACAGGCATGCCACCAGTATATTTTGTGGAGATGGGGTTTTGCCATGTTGCCCAGGCTGGTCTTGAACTCCTAGGCTCAAGCAATCTGCCCGCCTCGCCCTCCCAAAGTGCTGGGATTATAGGTGTGAGCCACCAAGCCGGGCTCCTTTTTATAATTTTATTATTTCAAGAACGTTTTATATAGCATCACAAAATATGCAACCTTTTGGGATTGGCTTTTTCTCACTCAGCATAAATTTCTGGATATCCATCCAGGTTGCTGTATTCATCAGCAGTTTATTCCTTTTGATTGTTAAATACTGTCTCCATCCATTCCTGCTGCTATAACAAAATACCTTAGCCTAGGTAATTTATAAATAATAGAAATGTATTGCTCACAGTTCTCGAGACTGGGAAGTCCAAAATTAAGGCACTAGCAGATTTGGGTCTGGTAAGGGCTTCTCTCTGCTTCCAACATGGCTCCTTCTCACTGCTGTATTTTCACATGGCAGAAGGGTTGAATGCTTGGGTCCTCACATGACAGAAGGGCAAAAGCCGAAAAGGATCAGACTCCCTCAATCCCTTTTATAAAGGCACTAATCCTATTCATGAGGGCAAAGCCCTCTTGACTAATCACCTCCTAAAGGCTTCACCTCTTAAAGCGATTGCATTGGGGATTAAGCTTCAACATGAATTTTGGAGAGGCACAAACATTTAAGCCATAGCAGATCGTATTCCATGGTGTGGACATACATTGTTTAACCATTCATCCATAACAATACATCAGGGTTGTTTGCAGGTTTTGGCTATTACTAAGAAACTGTTATAAACATTTATGTACAGGTTTTTTTGTGAATGTAACTTTTTATTTATCTGGGATAAATGCCCAGGAGTAAAATTGCTGGGTCATATCCAGATTCAGTTTTTTTAAGAAACTGACAAGCTGTTTTCTCCCAGTGATATATGAGTAAACCTGTTTCTCTGCATCCTCCACAGTATGTGGTGTTGTCAAGGTTTTTTATTTTAGTCATTGTTAAGTGCGTAGTGATATGTCATTGTGAACTGAATTTGCATTTCCTTAATGGCTAATGATGCTGAATATCTTTTCATGTGTGCATTTGCCATCTGTATATCCTCTTTGGTGAAATGTCTGTTCATGTCTTTGGCCATTTTCTAATTGGATTGTGTGTGGGTTTCTTACTATAGATTTTTGAGCCTGCTTCATATATTTAAGAAAAAAATCCGGGGCTGGGAGCAGTGGCTCATGCCTCTAATTCCAGCACTTTGGGGAACCAAGGTGTGAGGATCACTTGAGCCCAAGAGTTAGAGACCAGCCTGGGCAACATAGGGAGACCCTGTTGCTACCCAAAAAAAAGAAAAAAAAAATTTTTAATTAGCTGGGTGTGGTGATGCTTGCCTGTAGTCCTAGCTACCTCAGAAGCTGAGGTGGGAGAATCACCTGAGCCCAGGAGGTCAAGGCTGCAGTGAGCTGTGATGGCACCACTGCACTCCAGCCTGGGTAACAGAGTAAAACTCTGTTGAAAGAAAGAAAGAGAGAGGAGGAAAGGAAGGAAGGAAGGAAGGAAGGAATAGAGGAAAGAAAGGAAGAAAGAAAGAAAGAGGGAAGGAAGGAAGGAAGGAAAGAGAGAAAGAAAAGGAAAGGAGAAAAGAAAAAAGAAAAGAAAAATGAGAGTGAGGGATGGAAAAGAAAAAGAAAGAAGGGAGGGAAGAAGGGAGGGAGGGAGGAAGGAAGGAATAGAGGAAAGAAAGAAAGAAAAGAAAGAAAAAAGAGAAAAGAAAGGAGAGAGCAAGGGATGGAAAAGAGAGAGAAAGAAGGGAGGGAAGGAGGAAGGGAGGGAGAAAGGAAGGAAGGAAGCAAGAAAAAGGCAAGGAATGGAAAAGAAATACTGGCCAGGTACAGTGGCTTATACCTGTAATCCCAGCACTTTGGGAGGCCAAGGGAGGTGGATTGCTTGAGGCCAGGAGTTCGAGACCAGCCTGGCCAACACAGTGAACCCCGTCTCTACTAAAACTACAAAAATTAGATGGGTGTGGTGGTGTGTGCCGGTAATCCCAGCTACTTGGGAGGCGGAGGCTGGAGAATTGCTTGAACCCAGGAGGCAGAGGGTGCAGGGAGCCTGGATGGTGCCACCGCACTCCAACCTGGGCAACAGAGCGAGACTCTGCATCAAAAGAAAGAAAGAAAGAAATTCTTTATCAGGTATATGGTTTGCAAATATATTCACCTGGTATGTAGCTCATCTTTTCATCCTATTAACAGCATCTATCACAGAGGAAGTTTTTAATTTTGATAAAGTCCAATTTGCCAGGTTTTCCTTTTATGAATTGTGCATTTAATGTCAAGTCCAATGATTCTTTTCCTACTCCTAGGTCCCGAAGAATGAATTTCTGCTAGAATTCTTGCTAAAATTTTATAGTTTTACGTGTTACATTTACATCCATTATCCATTTGGATTAATCTTTATTTTTTCTTTCTTTTTTTTCCCTTCCTTCCCCTCCTTCCTTCCTTCTTTCTTTTTTTTTCTTTCTTTCTTTCTTTTTTTTTGAGATGGAGTTTCACTCTTGTTGCCCAGGCTGGAGAGCAATGGTGCGATCTTGGCACACTGCAACCTCCACCTCCCGGGTTCAAGTGATTCTCCTGTCTCAGCCTCCCGAGTAGCTGGGATTACAGGCACATGCCACCACGCCTGGCTAATGTTTGTATTTTTAGTAGAGACGGAGTTACATCATATTGGTCAGGCTGGTCTTGAACTCCTGACCTCAAGTGATCCACCCGCCTCGGCCTCCCAAAGTGTTGGGATTACAGGCGTGAGCCACTGCACCAGGCCGGGTTAATTCTTTATAAGGTGTGAGATTTAGGTCCAAGTTCATTATTGTTAGTGTTTGTGCCTATGGGTGTCCAAATATTCCAGGACCATTTGTTCAAAAGGCTAGCTTTCCTTCATTGAATTGTTTTTGCACTTTTGTAAAATATATGTTGGGGATATTTGTGTGGCTCTATTTTTGGGTTCTCAGCAAGACGCGGTGGCTCACACTTGTAATCCTAGCACTTTGGCAGGCTGAGACGAGAAGATACCTTGAGCCCATGAGTTCATGACCAGTCTGGGCAACATAGTGAGACCTTGTCTCTATAAAAAATGTACATATATGTAAATGAAGTTAAAAAAATATTTCTGGGTTCTCGGCTGGGCATGAAATATTATATTATATTATATTATATTATTACAATACCATTTTATAATATAATGCAATATAATATAATAATACAATATTGTATTGTAAAACTATATATAGTACAATATCACAGTCAGGATATTGATACTGTGGCTCATGCCTATAGTCCCAGCACTATGGGATGCTAAGGTGAGTAGATCACTTGAGCCCTGGAGTTTGAGACCAGCCTGGGTAACATGACAAAACCCCATTTCTACAAAAAATTCAAAATTTAGCTGAGCATGGTGGTGTCAGTGGAGGCCTAGTGGGTTGCTGGAACTCTCACCCCCACACAGTAGAGATACAGAGCACCCTACCTTGGTGTCAGAGGAGGCTCACCTTTACCCCATCTGTTAGTCACAAGGCAGTGCCCCCTTCTACTGCTGGGGTAGTGTCACACACACACACATACACACACAAAGCAGCCAAAAAGAAGGTTTAAAAATGGAGAACAGATTAGTGGTTACCACAGGTTAAGGAGGTGGGAGGTGTGCAGCTGGAGGGAAATGGGTGTGGCCATAAAGGAGCAAGAGGAGGGATCCTTGTGGTAATACCTTATAGTTTACCTTGTGGTAAACTATATCAGTTATTTGGGAGGCTAAGATAGGAAAATCGCTTGAGTCTGGGAGGTGGAGGTTGCAGTGAGCCAAGATCGCACCACTGCACTCCAGCCTGGGCAACAGAATGAGACCTTGTCTCAAAAAAAAACTATTTTAGAAACATAAAATATTTAATCTATAATATATTATAAAATATATAGTCTATAGTTAAATTATAAATATTGAATTATAAATATTTAATCTATAGTATATTATAAAATATTTAGTCTATAATTAAATTATAAATATTGAATTATAAATATTTAATCTATAGTATATTATATAAATATACTTTATATAATTATAAATTATATTTATATAATTTTACATTTTACAGAAATATAAAATATAACATATTTTATTATTTAAATAATGTGTTATAATTTAGATATATAATAAATGATTTCTAATATAACATATTTTATTGTATAATTTTATAAAATATGAATTTATATATAGAATATAGTTATATATAATATGAAATTATATGTGTATACACAAACACACATATATACAAAATTTTATCATAGTTACAAGTGTCATTTTACCAGTTCAAGTATAGAAGCTTTACCTTTCTTTACCTCCCTTTATCCTCCCAGATTTATTTATGTTAACTACTTTCTCCTTATACATTTAGAACAATACCAGACAGTGTTATAATTTTTGCTTCAACTACTAAATATAATCTAGAAAACTCAGTAGGAGTTTTGGAAGGTGTTCTGTATTCACCTGTATTTTGACTTCCATGTTTTCCTTTTCTGGTATTCCAAGATTCCTTCTTTTATTGTTTCCTTTCTGCTTAGAGGACTTCACTTAGTCATTCTCTTAGGGTGGTCTGCCAACAGATTCTCATAGTTTTCTTCATCTGAGAATGCTGTGGCTTCTTTATTCATGAAGGATATATTCTCTGGGTATAAAATTCTGGGTTGATAGTCTTCTAGCACATGAAAACTGTTTTGCCATTTCCTTCTGGCCTTTGTGGTTTCTGAGGAGAAATTAACTGACATTTATACTTTTTTCCCTTATACTTAAGGTGTTGTTTCTCTTGCTCTGCTTTTAATATTTTTTCTTTGTCTTTTGTTTTCAGAAGATTGACTATGTTAATGTTGTAGATTTCTCTGGGTTTATCCTGTTTGGAATATACTCAGCATCTTAAATCTGTAGGTTTATGTATTTTACCATATTTGGGAATTTTTCTGGTATTATTATTTGAGTACTTTTACAAGGAAGTCCCTTCTTTCTCTTTTTCTTTGGATCTTCAATTACATGAATGTTAGACCTTTCATTATAGACCCACAGGTCCCTGAAGCTCTGTTCATTCCTTTTAAGTCTATTTTTCTCTATTGCTCAATTTCTATTGTTCTATCTTCAAATTATCTGATTCATTCCTCTGTCACCTCAGCAAATTAAGCTCATCTGCTGGATATTTTATTTTACTTATTGTATTTTTAATTTCTAAAAATTTCTATTTCATTCTTCTATTTCTTTGCTGAGACTTTCAATTTTTTCACTTACTTCAAGCATGTTCATAATTTTTCACTGAAGCATTTTTATCTTTTTCAAATAGTTCTAACATCTCTGTCATCTTGGTATTTGCATCTGTTGATTGTATTTTTTTTTCATTCAGTTTGAGATTTACTAGCTCTTGACATGGCACTCATTTTCAATGGAATCTGAGATATTTGCGTATTGTGTTATGAGACTCTATATCTTAACCTTCTTTTTGGCTGGTTTTCTTATGTGTGTGTGATACTACTCCAGCAGGAGAAGGGAGCACTGCTGCCTTGTTACTGCCAAATGTGGATAAAGGTCCAGATACCCACTCAGCCTCCTTTGACACCAAGCTGGGGTGCTCCATGTCTCTACTGTGTTGGGGTGAGAGTTCCTGCACCTCATTAGGCCTCCACTGATACCTTTCAGTATGAGAAGGGCAGTGGTGCTTGAAATCCATTCCTTTCTCTCTGTATACACTGGAATTGATTTAACTCAATATTTGTCATTTCATGCCTGGTCTGGGACAGTTAATTTGTAAATGGACTCCCCAACTTTGACATTTTCTTCCTCCCATCCTTCCTCCACAATGCTTGCAGAGTGATCTTTACAAAACATAAACCCAGTCATCACATCCCCTTACTTAAAACCCTTTCATGAATCCCTACACTCTCCAGAATAAAATCCAAAACAAAGAGAGTCCTTCAGGACTTGGTCCCTGCCAACTTTTCCAGCAACATCTCACTCCACTAATGATATGGTTTGGATCTGCGTCCCCACCCAAATCTCATGTTCAGTTGTAATCCCCATTGCTGGAGGTGGGGCCTGGTGGGAGGTGATTGGATCATGGAGGTGGGTTACTCCTGATGGCTTAGCGCCATCCATTTGGTGCTATTCTCATGATACTGAGTGAATCTCCTGAGAGCTGGCTGTTTGAAAACGTGTGGCACCTCCTCACTTCTTCTCTCTTCTGCTCTTCCATGTAAGACATTCCTGCTCCCTCTTCACCTTCTGCCATGATTGTAAGTTTCCTGAGGCATCCCCAGAAGCCAAGCAGATGCCAGTGTCATGCTTCTTGTACAGCCTGTAGAATCATGAGCCAATTAAACCTCTTTTCTTTATAAATTACCCAGCCTGAGGTATTTCTTTTTTTTTTTTTTTTTTTTGGAGACAAGAGTCTCATTCTGTCACCCAGACTGGAGTGCAGTGGTGCAATGTTGCTCACTGCAACCTCCGCCTCCTGGGTTCAGTGACTCTTGTGCCTCAGCCTCCTGAGTAGCTTGAATTACAGATGCATTTACCCACACCCAGCTAATTTTTATTTTTGTATTTTTAGTAGAGACAGGTCTTCACCATGTTGGCCAAGCTGATCTCAAATTCCTGACCTCAAATGATCTGCCCGCCTCAGCCTCCCAAAGTGCTGGGATTACAGGCATGAACCACAGTGCCCTGCCTGAGGTATTTATTTATGGCAATGTGAGAACAGCCTAATACAGAAAATTGGTACTGGGAGTGGGGCATTGCTATACTGATACCTAAAAATGTGAAAGTGACTGGGGAACTGGGTAATGGGCAGAGACTGGAATAGTTTGGAGGGCTCAGAAGAAGATAGGAAGATGAGAGAAAGTGTGGAACTTCCTACAGACTGGTTAAATGGTTGTGACCAAAATACTGATAGTGATATGGACAGTGAAGTCCAGGCTGAGGAGATCTCAGATGGAAATGAGGAACTTATTGGGAATTGGAGCAAAGATCACTTTTGCTATGCCTTAGCAAAGAACTTGGCTGCCTTGTGCTCCTGCCCTAGGGATCTGTGGAACTTTGAACATGAGAGTGATGATTTAGGGTATCTGGCAGAAGAAATTTCTAAGCAGCAAAATGTTCAAGATGTGGCCTGGCTGCTTCTAACAACCTATCACATATACATGAACAAAGAAATGGCCTATAGTTGGAACTTGTATTTAAAAGGGAAGCAAAGCGTAAATGTTTGGAACCATTTGCAGCCTGCTCATGTGGTAGAAAAGAAGGCCCATTTTTCCAGGGAAAAATTCAAGCAGGCTGAAGAAGTGTGCATAAGTAAAAAGGAGCCAAGTGCTAATAGACAAGACAATGGGGAGAAGCCCTTGAAGGCATTTCAGAGACCTTCACAGCAGCCCCTCCTATTATAGGCCCAGAGTCCTAGAAGGGAAGAATGGTTTTGTGGGACAGGCCCAGGGCTCCACTGCCCTGCACAGCCTCTGAACACTGCTCCCTGCATCCTGGCCACTCCAGCTCCAGCCATGGCTCAAAGGGGCCCAGAACTCAGGCCTCTGCTTCAGATGGTGCAAGCCATAAGCCTTGGTGGCTTCCACATGGTGTTAGGCCTGCAGGTGCACAGAGTGAAAGAGTTGAGGCTTGGGAGTCTCTGCCTAGATTTCAGAGGATGTATGGAAAAGCCAAGATGTCCAGGCAGAAGCCTGCTTCAGGGACAGAGCCCTCACGGGGAGCCTCTACTAGGGCAGTGTAGAGGTGAAATGTGGGGTTGGAGCTCCCACACAGAGTCCTCACTGGGGCACTGCCTAGTGGAGCTGTGAGAAGTGGGCCACCCTCCTCCAGACCCCAGAATAGTAGATCCACCAACAGTTCGCACCGTGTGCCTGGAAAAGCTGCAGACATTCAACACCAGTCTGTGAGAGCAGTCACTGGGGGCTGAACACTGCAAAGTCACACAGGCAGAAAGGCATCAGTGTGGCCTGGATGTGGGACATGGAGTCAAAGGAGATTATTTGGGAGCTTTAAGATGTAATGACTGCCCTTCTGGGTTTCAAACTTGTGTGGGGTCTGTAGCCTCTTTCTTTTGGCTAATTTCTTCCTTTTGGAATGGGAGTATTTACCCAATGCCAATACCCCCATTGTATCTTAAGAGTAACTAACTTGTTTTTTTATTTTACAGGCTCATAAGTGGGACTAGCCTTGTCTCAGATGAGACTTTGGACTTTGGACTTTTGAGCTAATGCTGAAATGAGTTAAGACTGGGGGACTGTTGAGAAGGGATGATTGTATTTTGCAATGTGAGAAGGACATGAGATTTGGGAAGGGCTGAGGGCAGAATGGTATGGTTTAGATCTGTGTCCCCACCCAAATCCCATGTCCAGTTGTAATCCCCAATGTTGGAAGTGGGGCCTGGTAGGAGGCAATTTGATCATGGGAGCTGGTTCTTCATGATGGTTTAGCGCCATCCTCTTGGTGCTGTTCTCTCAATAGTGAGTTCTCCCAAGATCTGGTTTTATGGCACCTCCTCTCTCGCTCTGTCTTGCTACTGCTCTGCCAGGTAAGATGTGCCTGCTCCTCCTTTACTTCTGCCATGATTGTAAATTTCTCAAGGCCTGCCCAGAAGCCAAGCAGATGCCAGCATCATGCTTCCTGTATAGCCTGTGGAACTCTGAGCCAATTAAACCTCTTTTCTTTATAAATTACCCAGTCCCAGGTATTCTTTTATAGCAATGTGAGAACAGATAAATACAACTAGGGAACCCTGTAGATCAGCTGTATCAAAGCACTTGTCCTGGAAGACAGTCCCTGACAGCACTGAGGCCTGGAAGCAAAGAGAGACAAAAAATACAGTCAACCCTCCATATTTATGGGGTATGCATCCATGGATTCAACTAACCACAGATTGAAGATATTTTTTAAAAGATGAAGAAAAAAATGGATGGCTGCATCTTTACTAAACATGTAGACTTTTTTTCCTGTCATTATTCCCTAAACAATACAGTATAACTATTTACATAGCAGTTATGTAGTATTAGGAATTACAAGTAATTTAGAGATGACTTAAAGTATATGGGCAGATATGTGTAGGTAATATGCAAATACTAATGATTTTATACAGCAGATCCTTGAAGAACATCATTTCATTCGACATCATTTTGTTATAATATTGATGAGAAAAAATCGATTCCTGGCCAGAGCTGCAGTCTGTGTGGTGTCAGCACATTCTCCCTACATCTGCGTGGGTTTTCTCAGGGACTCCAGTTTTCTCCCACATTCCAAAGCTGTGCACATTAGGGGAATTGGTGTGTCCAAATTGTCCCAGTGTTGCCAGGTGCAGTGGCTCACACTTGTAATCCCAGCACTTTGGGAGGTCCAGGCAGGAGGATCACTTGAGTCCAGGGGTTCAAGACCAGTCTGGGCAACAAAGTGAGACCCCATCTCTACAAAAAAATTAAAAATGAACAGGGCATGATGGCACACACCTGTAGTCCCAGCTACTCAGGAGACTGAGGTAGGAGGATTGCTTGAACCCAGGAGTTTGAGGATTCGGTGAGCCATGATTGCACCACTGAACTCCAGCCTGAGCAACAGAGCAAGACCCTATCTCTACAACAAATAAATACATTGTCCTAGTGTAAGTGAGTGTGTGTGTGTGTGTGTGTGTGTGTGTGAGAGAGAGAGAGAGAGAGAGACAGACAGAGAGAGCCCTGCAATGGAACTCTGTCCTGCCTAGGGTTAGTTCCCACCTGTGCCCTGAGCTGCCAGGATAGGCTCTGGCCACCTGCAACCCTGAAATGGAATCATTGGGTAAATAATTATCTTGCTTGATTTTATTAATCTTTCTTAAATGTATGTATCACTCACATTTATTTCAATATTTTATTTATTGAATATTTGGTAGAGACAAGGTCTCACTGTGTTGACCAGGCTGGTCTCGAACTCCTGGCCTCAAGTAATCCTCCAACCTCGGCCTCCCAAAGTGCTGGGATTACAGGCATGAGCCACTATGCCCGGTCTATTTCAGTGTTTAATATTAGAAAGGTTTTGGGTCTTTATTTAGAAGTTTGGTGATATTTTTATAAGCAGAAATATGCCATAGGAACTTAGCTCTTGTTTCTATCAATTAGCCTATGGTTAATGAGTTCCTTTATTCATCTTTTCACTTAAAGTCACAGTTTCCACGAACCTATTGATGATGCTAGGGGAGGACTTAACTGTATAAGGGACTTGAGCATCCATGGTTGGGGGGTGCTGGAACCAATCCCCCACAGATACCAAGAACAACTGTACTGCAACTACTTTCTCTGCCCATATTCCCCTCCCATCTTGTGCCATTCCTCCTACTGGCTGAGCTCAACCAGAAGTGAGAAGCCAGAGAGCAAGAGAGCCTGGATGAAACACTCCATGGGGATCAGACTTCAGGTCACAGAGTAGGGCAGAGAAGAGCAAAGAATGGATGTTGCAGGGGAAATGGGGACAGTCAAATGGAGAGTAACCGGCACTCTGAACCTCAAGCCAGCCTAGGTCCTAGAGCAGTTAGGAACCAAAGTCTCATCTTGCCAAATGCCATTCTTTTTTTTTGACAGAGTTTCGCTCTTGTTGCCCAGGCTGGAGGGTAATGGCGCAGTCTCAGCTCACTGCAACCTCTGACTCCTGGGTTCAAGTGATTCTCCTGTCTCAGCCTCCTGAGTAGCTGGGATTACAGGCACGCGCCACTACGCCCAGCTAATTTTTGGTATTTTTAGTAGAGACGGGGTTTCACCATGTTGGTCAGGCTGGTCTCAAACTCCTGACCTCAGGTGATCCGCCTGCCTCAGCCTCCCAAAGTGCTGGGATTACAGGCGTGAGCCACCGCGCCCGGCCCCAAATGCCATTCTTATCCTCCAAGATTATTACATGTTCTGACAGAGTTCATCAAACATCCCAGGTCTCAGCTCAAATAATATTAAATGCGTTACATAAAATCCCATTTTCATTTCATGGATAGAACCACTACGTTGCTCTCTATGTTTCAAAAGTCTTCCTAGCTCAAAAAGGAATTAGATAATTATACCCATAATCAAAATATGGTTGGTATGATACAGATGGTTAAATATATGCTCCACTATTCTCACTGATTAAAACATCTTTTTATCCCATTTATCGTAGCCATTTTTTTAGGATAGT